>NC_000003.12:166281331-166432846 GCF_000001405.40 Homo sapiens
AATTAGATGAGAGAAGGCAGAGAATAAACTATTGCTAACAGATATAGTAGGAAAGAAGAACAACCTTTTACTTATTTTTTCTGTAGCATTTTTAGTAATTCAGAAAAGCTGCAACCATAAAATATCCAATAGGCAGTAAGACACAGTGTTATAGTTCTTTTGCCCTCAGAGATGAAATTATAATGAGAAATCACACTTTTAGGACTTTGCAGAATCATGGTGACCTGAAGTGTAGGACTATATAATTCCTAAATCTTCTTGCTAAAACCTTTTTAAGAGTCTAATCCTCGAGAGGTAAGTAGTCAGGGTTTTCTATAAATAAATGCATTGCTATCAATGAACTCAAAACCAATCACAGACTCTAAGTGGTGAGAAGAGCTGAATTTTGTTCTAGAGTTATGATGAAGTTTATAAGCCATTGTTACAATTTTGTCTCTGCTTCATTCTTATTATGATATACATTAGATCTTGGTGTTAAAAGTTATTGTGTATACAGCAGAAAAAAATGTCTAATGTCTAGAAGACATTTTCAGCTCATTTCATACTGTGGATAGAGATTTTCTTTAAATTCCATAATCTGATTTCTGAGCCAAAAAGAGATCAATATATTCAGGTTATAAATAGAAAATGACCACCTCAACCTTTTACTTACTCTCTGATCTAAAGCTTAAGAAAACATTTTGTAAATCATGTCCCTTCCACACTTTTTCACACTTTATAATATCAACCTTTTATAACTCAACAGAGTATCTTTACTGGTGTTTATAGCCCCTTAATAATTAGGACATCAGGATAGATTGGTTTACCTTTATAAGACTTTCTGGGGCTTTTTAGGGTCATGTGGAAATATTACATTTTTTTAAGGCAGAAGCTGAATAACTGCCATGGCAATGACAGTGATGTAGATAATTCTGTTCTCTGAACTATGCCTCAGAGTCTCTGTATAGATTTAGGACATAACATTTTCATGGGTGATGGGGACAGAGGTCATGGAGAAGGGGAATTATGATTCAATTTAGTCTCCACTGGTCCCCATTGGTATAAAACTTCAACCAAACAATTTAATCACAATAACTGGATTTTTCTGGTTTTCACTGAATTCAAGTTGGCTAGTATAGCTTTGACACATTAATAGCTGCAATCCAAAGATGTTCAAAGATTACCAGACATTTAAGTTTTCTGGATGGATCTGAGGAGGAAAGAAGACTTTACTATGTATTGAGGACCTGGAAATACATATTATGATTCACATATACTAATATTTTCTTGCATCTGGAAGAAAAGAAAACTGACATATTTTAGTATTTTAAAATCTCCTCACTTCTGTTTATTTTTAAAAAGTAAAATAGCAGTTTCTTAAATAAGAACTTAACTTTGTCAAAGAGGAATCTCGAAATGTTTTTTACAATAAAAAATATAAACAGGGAAGAAACACACACTATGTTACAAAACGTCACTAAATATTGTGAGATGTTACGTTTAATTCCAAAACATCTAATGCTGGTTTTGATGTCCCTTTCTGATTAAAATGACTTGCCTAAGGGACTTGTTTTATTGTTAGTGAACGTATGCTTTTTTCACAATTTTCTTCACAAAACACTATCTATTAGGTACCTATTATGTTCTAGGCATTATGTTCACCATTTGAGGAATAAAGACAAAAAGACATGGTTGTATTATTTAGAAGCTCCACATGTAATGAAGGAGGAATGTGTATGCAGAGCGCTTCGATGTACTTGGATGAGTATTCCAAACAAGTGAACACAGTGAATAAAAAATAAAAAGTAACTTATTTTGCTTGAGGCCCAGAGAGATAAAGTGGGGGGTTGGGCCTGGGAACAATTTTCAGTTGTAACTTGTTGGAGCATAGAAAGGGGAAGAAAATACCAGGGAAAAAGAAGAGTGTGTTTATCAGAGTCCAATCAGGACAGGAGACCACATTAATCTGAACAAGAGAAATATGCAAAACTGTCAACTATTAAGTGTGACAAAAAGATAAAAAAGATAATCCAAAATTATAATGAAATAGTAAATGCAGAAAGCATCTATTGCCTCTAGGGCTGAGAGAGAGTGACCAAAGAAGAACCAAATTGAAAAAGCACACTTTTCAACTTTTCTTAGTTCATTTTCATTTGTTGTCTTCTCTCTAGCAGGTTGAACCAGAAAATAAAGACCCTACAAGAGGAACAGAAGCTTCTTTAATGATTAAACTTACCAAACTTGAAGATCTTGAAACGAAAGACTGTACTATCTAAAGATTTTTAAAGTACCCAAGTAGAATAATTAGCAAATCATTACTGAAAGATAACTCACTGACATTTTCTGACATTTAATTAGGTTTAAGATCTGAAATAATGGGATGTGCTATATTGACAATGAAAAAATAGATTTCAAAAGGTTGCATACTTCAGTGTAATTTATTTTAGTGTCTGAAAAACTGGTTTTATCAAAAAATAGTTTGTCTTTTAAAAATGGCCCGTGCTAGCAATTAAAATGAAAATAAAATCCACTCGGTTTACTTACATGTGAAACATATTGAGCAGATCTGCATTAGAAATTGAAAGACTTTCAAATCTGCCTTAAATGTGTTGCACTCTTGATACCATTTTCTGTACTGGCTCATTGGAAAATATCTTACATAGGTTGGGATTGTGGTTAATTAAAACAGGAAAAAAGAAAAAACAACTGCGCTTCCGTCATTGTCTTGAGTTTCCAAACAGTTTCTGACTCATTTCATTGGCAGAGCTGCTGCAGCATAGCACTGCAAGTTTCCATGGCCACATGCAGAATAGTTTTCAAAGATCGCCCAAGCCAGAGGAAACCAGGGCAGCTTATTATAGCTCATATGTTGAATGGTTAAAAAGCCGTATCAAAGCAAAACATATTTCTATTAAAGACCTGCTTTTTTTTTTCCCACCTTAAGGATTTTTACATTTCGTCATAATTATTTTTAATGGACACATAATTATATATAATTTATGAGGTACAGTATAATATTTTGATACATGTATACACTATAATAATGAAATAAAGGTGATTAGCATATTCATCACCTCAAACGTTTATAATTTCTTTTGTTGGGAACACTCAAAATCCTCTCTTCTAGATATTTGAAAATATACAATAAATTGTTACTTATTGTCACCCTACAGTGCTGTAGAACACTAGGATCTATTCCTTCTATCATTTTATATTCATTTACCAACCTTTTCCTATCCTCTCTCAAATACCCCTCCCAGCCTGGAATACTATTTTACCATGAAAAATAATGAAATCCTATCATCAGCAACATGGATGAGCCTGGAGGACATAATCTTAAATACAATAAGCCAGGCACAGAGGAATAAACACTGCACATTCTCACTCAAAGATAGAAACCAAAAAAGTTGATCTTATAGAAGCAGACCCATTTTTGAAAATTTTAAATTTTAAATTGTTTCTTTTGACTTAATTTACAGTGGCTCCTATATAAAATGAAGATGTTAGGGGAAGAAGGTGATAATGGCTTGTTATATTTCAGTGAATTCTTCAGTTTTCTAGTGCATTGCCTTTTCAAGGTGTCTGGGTAATGTATTCTTGGTATAGTTAGCATTAATAGAAAAAAGGAATAAATAAAGTTTACCACCATGATAAGTAATATCTGAAAGTAAACAGAGAAGAGTTATGGAGTCTGGTTGAAGGGAAACAAGATTGAAATTTGAGAAGCAGAGATATTTTGAAGGTAAAATATAGTTAACTGAGAATTTCTGCTCAAGTGATCAATGCAAAAAAAAATCTAGTAAACACAAGAATCAGTGTGGAAATACCTGGAAACCACTGTGCAGAGGCCTCAAGAAACACACCACTGATAAGACATTACACAAGGTTTATTGAGTCATCTAGTAGAGTACACATAACTTCCTCCCCCACCCCAATTTGTATTATTCCACGGCTTAGGTCAGGCATATATGATCAGCCTTTGTCATAGCCTATGTAAAATGTCAAGTAGGGAATGTCTCTGTCCCTGTATCACTCAGTAATGGCATCAGAGGGAAGACAACATCCATAAAACTACAAAGTGGGAAACGCTCTGGTCAGAGAAGTAGGCATATTACGAAGGGGAACCTCTGAGTTTAGTGTCTTGTGTCAGCCTGTTCTTTTGTTAACCTAACATAGACCTGCTATGCTGGCTATCTTCTGAGCTACTAAAGTAGGGAGAAAAATGAGTTTCTGAACTGTCAATGATTTTCTTTATAAATGCTACTGTACTCTTCGTTCATTCCCTTGCCATGTGTATATTACATCACTGATTATTTTCATCATTGTTAATTTCTGTCTTAGATTAGTTTATCTCAGAATCAGCATCAGGTTTCTCTATCTCATATATATATATATATATATATATATATATATACACACACACACACACACACATACACATACATATATACACATACATATACATACATATATATGAATATATATATATATATATACTCCTCAAATTTCGTTTTACCATGTGTAGAATTTCTATATGTGTGTGCAATGCTCAGTGGTAGGCCCTGCCTCCTGTTATATAATTTTCTTACTTTATTCTTTTCCATAGAGAAGATGTATTAATTCCTATCTTTTGAGAAGCTAGAAAGACCCTGCTGTGGTTTTAATTTTTCTTGAAATCAAATGGTGGTGACAGGTAACTTGATTTTACAGAATCGTTCTGTCTCCAAGATCTTCTCAGTAGCATTAAAAGAAATAGCACTTAGAAATTTGTATGGCCAATCCTTCACATGTATTTGTAAGTAGTATATATTTTTGATTTATCCTTGAACAAAATGTTAACCTGTTCTCAGCATTCTTATCTAATTCCTTAAATCAATATCTTTTTCAATTTCACATCAGTTAGGAGCCCAGTGTCACCCTGATGTAGCACTACTATTCATTGTCTATTTAGTGCATTTCATAACGTAGGCACGTGCAAAGTCACGGGCATGTGATTACAGGCTAGGATATCTCTGTTTCAAACTTTACTACAGCTCTTATAAGCTTATGTGAATCGACAGTAAGTTAGTTAACAACTGTGAACCTCAGTTTTCTTACCAAACTGTGTTTCGGTTTTTCAGTTTTCCTGTTTCTTAAATTGAAATAATTAGTTATTTTGAGGAGCATATTAAATACTTCATGTAGATTTTTAAAATTTATTTATTTATTTATTTATTTTTATTTTTTTATTTTGAGACGGAGTCTGGATCTGTTACCCAGGCTGGAGTGCAGTGGTATGATCTCCGCTCACTGCAACCTCTGCCTCCCAGGTTCAAGTGATTCTCCTGCCTCAGCTTCCAGAGTATCTGGGATTACAGGCTCCCGCCACCACATCCAGCTAATTTTTGTGTTTTTAGTAGAGACGGGGTTTCGCCATGTTGGCCAGGCTGATCTCAAACTCCTGTCCTCCAGTGATCCACCCACCTTGGCCTCCCAAAGTGCTGGAATTACAGGTGTGAGCCACCACACCCAGCCCACAGTAGGTTTTGTTGATAGTCTGCCCCTATTTCCTTGTGCCACCCCTCGGTTCGTCTAAAGCTGCAGCAGACATTTTCTGTACATGTATCACTCTATGTCTGTGCCTGATGGTTTTTCCTTGCCTAATATCACAGGAGAATGCTCAGCTTATGGGGAAGGTATTCTGGAAAATAAAAGTATTTGATTGGATAGATAGTTCACATTTTCTGTTTGTTAGGGTGTAAATATTAAAGCATGGTTTATATAGTTCCCTAGAGAATTTCCAATAAAATGAATCCTAATTTCTCATATCAGTAGCGTGCTTGTTAATGCACCCCTTATTATATTTTCCTCTTTCCTTGCCTTAATTGCCCACTGTTTTAGTTATATTACCTATTTTTACTTAACTCTGTGTCTTAGGGTCTACTTTGGTCAGAATCCAAACTAAAACATACTTTGTGAAAAGTGCATACGCTAGGGCCTGGCCCTGGCATTCTTCACCACGGTCAGTTTCCCAACTTACTTAGCTCTCCTTTGACATTATCAGTGTTTATCTGCTCTGTGTTCTATTTCTGGACCTCTAGAAGTGACTGTCTACTAATCCTCCTTCCCAAAAAAATTACGCTAAATTGCTGTTTTCTTAATATTTTTACATCTTTTCTCTGGGATATTTTTGCTTAAATAGATAATCATGAAATGAAAAGCCATAGGCCAAAAAAAAAAAAAAAATGAATCCCTATGATATTTTAGATACTTTGTGGCTAGTCAGTTGGGGAAATAGTCTTAAATATGAATTCTTTCAAAATGTCTCTAAATAATCACAGGTAGGTAATGAACTATCCTAATTAACTTTATTTACATCAGTATGTCTTAAAATAAATGAGTCATTAATAGCATAATGACATGGTGCCAACAATTCCAAATAAGTTTTATGTGATTCTCACATTGTATTTTGTATTTTCTTAAAGCATTTTGCACTAAAATGAAAGAGAATGAATTTTTGAATTTGCTTTACTCTTAGCAGATATGTATTTTACATGGTGCAACTTCACTTTCATAATTGGAATAAATCAAACTTCATGGTAATGAAAATATATCTTGAACTTGACATAATCCTCCAAGCATCATTTCAATTTATTATGGATGCTTAAGACAAATGTAATTATCATTATTTTTATGTAAAAAATTATCAAAAAGGTTTGAGATTTCTCTTTCCTTTTGCATGGATTGGCAATTATAAGTAGTTAATTATAAGAAATATTTGGATAGATTTCCTTCAAAAAACTGTATGCAAATAAATAAAATGACATTTAAAAATATTATTACAGTCTTATAGTGCATAGTTCTTTAGATCCATTAGTCTGTAAGCATCAGCAGTTAGCACTCCTGATACTTTGGACTAGATAATTATTTGTTGTGGGAGGTTGTGCTGTGCATTGTAGGATGTTTGGCAGCATCCTTAGTCTCTACCTACTGGATGCCAGTAGCACCTCCTCACCAGTGATGACAGTCAAAAATATCTCCAAACATTTGCAAAATATTCCTTGAGGGATAAAATTATTTTGGATTGAGAGCCACTGATGTATGTGTATATATATGTATGCATGTATGTATGTATGAACATATAAGTGTATATATATTCATCTGTGAGTGGTTAGCATAGGTCCCTGAACATGTTTACTACATGCTTAAGGAGGAAGGGAAGAAAAGATTTACTAAAATTTACTATGATGCATGTTTCTGTTTTTACATTTAAATATTCAAATTCAATAATTGACAAGCATGTAATCCAGGCAATCTCTCAACAAAATAAAAATAGGCAGCAATGACTATATACACAGCCAGAGGTACTTGATCATGAACATTTTTTACTTAAGATTTACAGCTATTTGTTGCCCTGACATCAATCTTTTCTTGTATCCCAGTCTAGTTGATCAAATGAAGGTCCTGCCCATCCTGGGCCTGGAATCTGCATCATCTATCAGAACCCTGAGTGCTTGAGGCTATCTTTTGTTTTCTAAATCTCACATCTTTTAGGGAAACAATTATTTCTCTATCTTTGGCTAGTTCCCTCACACTCTGCTGCCATGGCCAGCCATCAAAATATAAATTCCAATGCAACTTTCTGTTTCTAGTTGACTCTTTTAGTTAAAAATAATTCATTACATGATGTTATCAACTCATGGTAATTAAGTTACATGATGAAGATCCGTGAAGGCAATATTTTTTTCAAAACCATTTAAATGGGTTAACAATACTGTTAGTATCAATCTAAACAGTAGGTATATGAAGCAAATAGCAGAAACTAAATTCCTTTAGTGACTCAAAAATTCCATATTTATTCCCCAATACAGTCATGGGAAGTCAAGTATCCTCTCTCTGGGAATGATGCATCTGGTAGAGAATGCAATAAAAAGGATTTGTTGAAGACTTCAGCTTGTCAGCTACTGCACTCCCAACTTGTCATTGTTCAAGTAGAAAGTCAAAGAGAAGTCTCAAGATATCACTTCATCAAGATAGATGAACACCACAATAATGAGAAGTATGAGAAGATGTTTAAAGCTACTTATGGAGTGTCTCCTCTGTTCCCATTACTAGAAGCAGGGCTCATTGGAAACAGGATTTTTGTTTGCTTTTACAATCACTTTTTTATAAATTTCTTTTACCTACTTATTAGATGTGTAGATCTACTGCCTTTGTATTATCTTTTTTAGTTACATAAAGTTTAATCATAATCATCCTAGCAAAATAAGTTAGGGGAGGTGGAAGCTGCTGTCCAGTACAAGAGTTTTGGTTCTGCTCATTTAGCACAGTACACGATATCATTAACTAGAGATACTCATCTTCTGTTAGATCCCAAGAGAAGGTAATCCAAAACAAATGTAGGAAATCTCTACCCATGCCATAGCTCCAATCCCAACTTTTGTCTTTTTCCATTAAATCAACTGAAGTATACAGTAGTAACAATTTAGAACAAAAAGAATATTGCTTTCAATCTTAGAGGGCTCTCTTTAACTTTGCAGACAAAGACACTACCTAAATGAAATCTGAAATAAAACGCATAGTGCCACATGCATTTTCCATAGAAAAAATAATGAATGAAAGTTAGAACTTGGTGCTAACAGCATATCTGTTTGGCTACAACATGGATTAAGTTTGTTTCTGTGGTACTATTTTGAAACCAACCACCTCATATCTCATTGTTTCATATTTTATTATGGTAAATTAGCTTTATTAACTATTTTCTAAGTTTGAAATAACTGGCAGAATACACAAACACTTAGAATACAATCTTCTTGAAACTTGACAGCACATAGCTCCTTTTTCTCTCTTTCTGTATCTTTCATTATATATTTATATTTTATAATGATAAATGTGTATATGCAAGCAGCATGTAATACTAAATCAGATAAAAAATATTGGCATCAGATTAGATATTCTATAGTGTTGAAACTATATAAAAATATATTTTATGGCAGGTAGTTACAATATTATTAATACACTTTGGTGATAAAAAGGAAAAAAAAAGCTTTGCACAATATCATCTAAGCAACTGGTACCACATTGTTAAAAATGTGCTCAGAACACTTAATAAGAGTATATGCATTATATGAAATGTGAAATACGGTGATAAGCCCATGCTATATGTGATGGATAATTTTATGTGTCAACCTGACTGGGCTAAAGTTTTTAGCCAAAATATTTGGTGAAATAGCATTTCTAGATATGTTTGTGTGGGTGATTTTGTATGAGATTAACATTTGAATCAGTAGATTAAGCAAAGCAGATTGACCTCCCCAGTGTAGGTGGACCTCATCCAATCAGTGGAAGACCTGAATAGAATAAAAGGCTGAGTAAGAAAGAATTATTTTTCCCTGCCTGACCATCTTCAATCTTGGATATTGATCTTCTTTTGTCTTCAGTCTCAAACTTGGACTAGAAACTTACACCATTACCGCCCATGGTTCACAGGCCTTTGGACTTGGACTGGAAATATATCATATACTCTCCTGGGTCTGCAGCTTGTCCATTGCAGATCATGGAACTTCTCTGTCTCCATAATCACATAAGCCAGTTCCTTCTAGGAAATCATGTATGCATAATTTACACACACACACACACACACACACACACACACACACACACACCTCATTAGATATAATATAACATATATTTTCATATGAATATGTGTTTATTTAAATATAATACTGTATATAATAGTATAATTGTGTCTGTTTCTGGAGAACCCAGAATAATACACTATTTAACTTAAATTTTATATTACTTTTTGTACAATTTCTAAAAAATAAATTTAAAAGTATTTCATATTTTTACTAGCAGTTTTACTGATTTGCAGTTTATCATTCTATGTAAAATTCAATATTAACTCAATTATTTTTTAGTCATTATCTAGAGATCAATTTCAAAAAGCCTCTCTTCTCCTCTATTAAATAAAAGCAATGCTAATGATATTCTGCCAGCTTCAAATTGACTGATTTATCACATCATTACACAGCCATCCTGCATCTGCACTTTGTTTGTGGAATACTATAGCTTGACAATAACAAATCACTATGCCCTCTGTTGTTGAGAATGTTAGAAGAAAGGCAACTCACACATGCAAAACCAAATGGTGCTGGAATGTTTAGATGCATTTGGCTTCTGCATTAGCTATTCATCAGCCACACTTGTAATCATTTAGAATATTTTCATCTCGAAGATTTCAAATTCTGTCTCCTCACTCGTTCCTCTGTGTCTACTCTGCTTTGATTCTGTGACAGTGAAACTGGAGAGCTCCCTTATCTCCCTAGCAGGATGTACTATAGGGGTGTGGCTCACTCCTTTGGTCACCCCACTGCCCTGAGGCTCAAACCTCTAGGGGGAGCATGCAGAGGGGCAGGTGCAGAGGCCCTGCAGAGTGCTTTTGGGCTCCAGCTCCACAGCAGCATCTACAAGTGGGTTTCTATGACTCCTGAAGCCCAAGCGGGCATGTGTTACAGTGTGTTATTTCAGCTTTGCTGTCTACAGACGGCTTGTGTTAATTAGCTCAGTAGATCTTCTGCCTTATCACAAGGGAAGGGGGATCAGTGTGACAGCCTGAGTTCTTGCCCAGTGTACTGGAAGAATCGGATCACACTTGGATTTGAAGGATGAGTACAAGGTTTTGTTGAGTGGTGGAAGTCGCTCTCAGCTAGATGGAGATGGATGGGGAGCTGGAAGCAGGAGATGGAGTGGGAAGGTGGTCTTCCCCTGGAATCCAGATGCCCACTGGTTAGACTCTTCTCCGCCCCTGGCTGAATTCCCTTCTGTGTGTCCAGACATCTTTCTCTTCTCTCTTTCTCTGTCATGCCACCCTGCCCCTCTGTTCCTCTGGATGTTCAGCTGCTTGTGTCTATGTCCGCTAAGGTCTTGGGTTAATATGGACACAGTATAGGGGATGTAGCAGGAAAAAGGTAATTCTTTGGGCCTGCGAACCGAAATTCCTGACCTCACTTGGAGCCAGGGGTCTTCAGGCTTGAGGGTGGGGCTTTTGCCAGGGAACCACCGTCTTCTACCCAGAATTTCCCTGTCTTCTGTCCATACCAATAGGTAGGCCTCAGAAATCAGTTCACCCACACAAAATACCTTGTTCTGATTGGTAGTGACCAGTGACTTTATATAAACAGATTTTTATATTCACAGCCTATAAGTCGATCCTGTTGATTTATTCAAAATGCTGATGGTCAGAATAGCTAGAACTCCTAAAAAAGTTAGGAAACTCTGGCAAACTCCTCATTTTCTGATGCAAATTGTGGGTTTGTAGCAAAAATTAAACAAAAAAATCAAATAATTGTCTTTTGTAGGTTCAGAGAAATACTTCTTTTGCTTCTGTTTAATTTCAAGTTGCTGATATATACAAAATTCCCAGGGAAAATAAATATCAAATTGTGATATTTTCTTTAAATGATTGCAATTATAGAAAGTATATGATTGCTTTTGGTTTCAGAGAGTCCTAGAAAATATTCTAAGTATTCCATTAACTGAATCAAACTTGGATTTGGTAAGACTTTGTAAATGATACAATATTACCTCTATTTTTAACAATTAAATAAAAGAATACTCTAAAAATGTATATTGAGAAAAATCACTAAAGCACTCCATTATTTTATTATGGTAAATTAGCTTCATTAATTCAAAAATAGAGTTTAATATAGGTAGCATCCTTTTCTAAATGATTTGTTCAATCTACTTGGAATAATTTTGAATTGATTGTCAGAAACCAGTTGGGAACTGTTGAGCTGATGTTTTAAAAATTACACTTTTAAGAATTCACCAATGCTAACTATTGTTACTTAAAACATCAGTTTCAGGGTATTACTCTAATTACTAGGTATATAATATTACTAGGTATATAATAAAATCACTTTCTTTTTAATAATTTTTCTTATTATCTTCTAGGCATCTCCCTTAGTATTTAAACATTGCCTGAAAATATGCACAGTAATTTATAAAACTGTTGTTATGGAACAAAAGTAGCTGATGTAAATTATTCATAGAGTGTCCTCAAGTATAAAATATCAAGTAGTTCTCAACCACGTTTGTTAAAATGTATCATAGTTTCTATTTCTGTCACTTATTTGCTTTTGTTAAAAAGTAATCCTAATGAAATACAAGTTTCTATAGCAACTTTAGTAATACATACACACACACACGTATACACATATACATACACATAATTAAACAACAGATTTAGATTTATTGACAGATGATATATATGGTTGTGGACTGAAAGACAAAACATATATGCTTCAGTGTTCAATAACTTTGAAATTTGTCCCATTCAGCTCATATAATCACAACACTCATTATCTAATGTAATGGAGACCATTATTAAAGTGGAGACATTGCTGTTGCTGTTCATGAGTCTGTGGTGTGGTTCTACAGGAGCAGGACCTTAAAGATAGCCACAATGGGAGAAAATGGTGATGATTAAAAAAATAAGGCTGCGCTTAAGGCCAAAATCTGTCATCAAATTGAGTATAATTTTGGAGACTTCAGTTTTCCATGGGACACATTCTTAAAGAAACAGATCAAACTCGATGAAGGCTGGGTACCTTTGGAGATGAGATAATTCAACAGGTTGAACCACCTAACAACAGTCTTCAATGTAATTGTAGAAGCATTGAGCAAATCCAAGGCAGAACTCATGGAAATCAGTGAAGATAAAACTGAAATCAGAAGGTGTTACAGCAATCCCTTCAGTGAAGTGACTGATGAGTATAAAAGTGATGTAAAAAAACAGATCTGTTTGAAAAAGAAGTATTGAAAAAAATTATAGAAGACCAACAAGAATCCCTAAACAAATGGAGTTCAAAAGGTCGCAGACTTAAAGGAAAAGGAAAGCATAACAAAGCTGCACAGCCTGGATCTGCTAAAAGAAAATTACACTTTCTGAGCAAGTAAAGGAAATTTGCTAGCAATAATGAAAATGGTGCAACTGGACCTATGAAAAGAGCAAGGGAAGAAACAGACAAAGAAACAGAAAAAAGAAAATGGTGATGGAGACCAGTAGTTTAGTAAACCAAATAATTTTTTTGTTTTAAATAGGTTTTAAATAACTTTTCTTTTGGAGGCCTTTTAAAAAGAAAACCAAATCAGGTCCACTTCAATGTCCACCTGTGAGAAAGGAAAATATTTTTTGGCATTTAACTTGTCTTTTTTTCTGTTATCTGAATTAGGAATATTATTTGAATGTATAGTTCTGTTTGTGTTATTTCAGATGATTCAAATATCAAAAGGAAGATTCTTCCTAAATTGCCTTCATAATATGAGAATGTGTTGTACAAACTAATAAAATATAAACTACATGAAACCAATAAAGTATATACTATAGGAAAAGAGCAAAAAAACCTCATTGGTTGTTAAGAAACTACATAAATTAAATTTTGCAAACACTAACAAAATTAATATTTTCTTGATTGAAAAATAAGACTTGTGAAAGCAAATTCTAATGCAACCTTAAAATGCCTGACTGCTGGCCTGTCTCCAAGAATATAGACTCTTCTCAATGTTCCTTGAAATAGCTCTGTGTGTTGATAATGCTACATGATGTTAATCTGAAATATGTTACAATCTCCATAATGACACTTAGACTCACAACACAAGCAGATCAGAGAAATTATTCCAACAAAAATAGTCTCATCTATTTTTAATTTTCTTTCGTTAAATCTTACCTCATACTATTTAAATGTATCTTTTTCATTCTCTTCTGTCCTATTCTCCATAAAAATACATGAATGTATTCATTCCTCACTCTTGAACAAGAATTTGACTGCATACTCTCCAAGCTGATGTCATGCCTCTTCCACATCATGCCTCTCCCTCCATGATAGAAGGCCTTATAAGATTGGGTTATTTGTTTTATTTGTTATTCTATTTATATTCATCAATTATCTCAAGCAGAATAAGTGTAGTCAAAAATCTCAATCACACTGTTAGTTTTTAAATGTTTTTTAAATCTTAAGGATATGGGAAATAGAACATTTGCCTAATATAGGACTATTAATTAAAGAATGGTGATGTAAATTGGTTGTCAGTAACATGTATGCATGTTACTTGAAACAGAATCCTTCTGATCTCCATCAACACTTTATTTAATTTTATAAGCTAAGATACTGAGATAATAAAAATGGGGACGAGGAAGAAAAAGCCAGCGCCATGTAACAAAAGAACAAATTTCCTAACACAGTTCTAAGAATTTTGAGGATATAGACATGTATCTTCATTGGGCTTCATCATTTATGTTTGGTATAAACTGTGATAAACAAGATATAAAAATATGTGTCAGAGGTGTTAATACTTCATTATACATTCCTAAATATGTTTTGCTTGACATATATGTTCTTTTAATTTGTATTAAAAATTGGCCCTCTTGAGATATTCATTTCTTAATTAATCAAGACAAACATCACATTTCCCTTCCTAGCTATTTCTATCTATGTGTGAAAAATAAATGTCATGCTTCACCAAAATGAAGTACTTCCCAAAGTGCATTTAGCTCTATTAATTCTACACTATGTCAATAGATGCCTAAAAAACTGTAAAATTAATGCCTAAGGTTGATTTAAACAAAGTTAAGTTTTCTTTCATTCTGGACTTTTAAGAAAGTAAGTTTTATATGGTAAGATGCATTTTGAATTTAAGTAGGAAGGCATTATGTATGGCTTCTCCAACATTATTTGTCCAAAAAACCCCTCCCATTTGAAGTTTTCTTACTTTACTTTGAAATATATTTCTCTACTTCTTTTTGTTCTTTAATATGTCTCTTCTGAGCTTTTGTATGAGAATATGAAGTGTTATATAATGAATGATTAATTTATTTAACATACTTTTTATTTTGTACATACTACTGGTCCTGCATATTGCAAGTGTCTAGAAATACAGACATGAATGAAAGTGTTCCTGCTCCTGAGAGCTTATATTCCAGTAGAGGAGAAAAGCAGGTAAATAAACAATTATACACAGTGGTATGTGTTGCACTACAGCTTTAAAGTGGGGCTCCCAGAACACCTGGGAAAGTGTTTCACCAGACAGGTATGTGCTGGTCAACGAAGGCTTCTCTGAGAGGTAACGTGAAGATGAACGTAAAATGATAGGTAAGGATTACCTATGGGATGTTGAGGAGGTGATGGCAAAGGGCATAAAACAATTCCCAGGCCAAAAGAGTAGCAATGACTGAGCCCAATGACTGAGCTTGTCTGCCCTAGAGAGAGAGTAAATCTCATATGCAGTAGCTCAGAAAAGCAGGAAATTATTGGTTCACAACGTGAAGATATTGAGATGAGAGATACAAGCCAGGACCTGATCTCCAAGAGCCCAGAGCACAAAACTAGACGTGTAGAATTCATCAGAGGGCTGTTAAGAACCAGTGAAGGTGCTTAAATAGAGGATAACAAGATGATATGTACATTTTAGGAAAGTCTCTCTAGAAGTCTGTTTAGAAAACGGATCGTAAGATCATGGCTGAAAAAAAGTGAGGTAGGTTTGATATGGCAGGGATTCAAGTAAGAGATAAGGGGACCTCCCAATGAAGTCAGAGAGAGTCTTTATACTAGTTACATATATGCTGTTAAATGTATAACATAGCTAGGATATAAAAATTTGTAGGTAAATTATGTGTTATTTTTCACATATAGGAATAATTTTTAATACTCATTTATAAAAGAAAGTGTTTTACTCTTGGAATGTTTTTATGTCATTCGCTTAATTTTAGTTTTGAAAATCTTATGCATAAAAATGAAAGGAAGCATGCAAAATAGAAATGCAGTGCAATATGTAATATTATACAATGCCATGATTTTATAATTGGAATATGCAATTGAAATATTACCTTACCCTAATCAAAATTAACACTGTAAAAGCATATTCTTCCCATGGCAGGCTTTTAAATACTTCCTTTTATAGTAATACTATTAAGTATTCCCATTTAAAGTAAATTGGAATATTTTTAAGTTTATAATAGGTTACATTTTACAAATTTGCTGTTTTGCTCTTTCCATTTTACATTCTAAAATACAAAATGGGCTTCTAAAATCTTTTTTAAAAAGTAGAATTGAATTACATGGCAATTACACCCCCCCACACACATATATACTGTCAATGGAATTCTACTGAATAATTTATTCAACTGACCCTCTATTGATATATAGTTTATTTCAAATGTTTGCTTTTAAGGACAATGCTGCAAAATACTGCATTGTCCCACAAGCATTTGCATACATATAAGATTATATCTATAGGAAGTGTATGGATGGCTAAATCAAATAATATATTTTTTTACATTTTAATTTTGATAGATATTACTAAAATGCCCTTCAATTACACCTATTTATTCTACCATCTACGCAAGCTGAGAATGCCTGCCCCTCAACAACCTCAGCAATATGTAGTATTACCAAATATTTTCATCTTTTTAATATGACAGGTGAAAAATATTGTTTTGACATTAATTGTTGGATTATGGAAGAGGTTGAACAACTTTTTCAGGACCATCATAATCATCACTACTTCATAATGCCCAGGCTGAGAAGATAACATAGAGCTAAAATGCAGCCTACATTTTCCCACGCTATGCATTGTGATGGGAGCTTTAGCTACTGGCAAAGGGAGGCTTTGTTCTAATTCATAGCAAGGTATCACAATAGCTAGTGTGGGCGCTAATTTGCTTAGGTGTTATTTGACTGATATATATGAAATTGTTCAAATCTATTTTATTGATCTGCTTTTCTAAATGTTAAGCATATTTATCTTTTGTCATGTGAGCTGAAAATAAATTTCATAATTTTTGTTTGCTTGTTTTATTTAAAATTATGGTACTACTTCCATCATATAAAACTTTTAAATTTTTATGTGTAAAAATTTGTCACCTTTTCCTTTTTGGCTACTGCTACTGTTATGCTTATAAAAATATTCCCTTCTTTAATATTAGGAAATATTTACCCATATTTCTGTTTCTATTTTCACAGTTATATTTGTATGCTAAAAATTTGATCCATCTGGAATACATTTTGATGTAGGAGTAAGCTAGAAACGAGCTTTATTTTATTTCCAAATAACTAGTCATTTTCTCCCTCATTTAAGTGTCATTTTAACATTATCTCTAATATATACTTAAATCCATTTCTGGATTTTTTTTTTTGTTCTTGTTATTTGTGCAAGTATAGTAAATTGTTTTGTAATTCTACATTTATAATAGGATTTAAAGTATAGGAGAATGAATTCTATGTTTTTTTCAGAATTGATTGTCTGATCTTAAATGTTTACTGTTATAGAGAACCTTTTGTGTTAAATTAAAAAAAATCTAGCTGTCATTTTAACTGGTCTAATATTACTTTGGAGATTAAAAAATGATTTCCATGTGAATGGAAATACTGAAAAACTAGAAGGCAGAGGAGATTCTTTTGTGTAAATACATCATAAAAAACTGGAGCCAAGAATTCCAAAATATAGATTCAGCTTACAGAAGAGTTTGAGAAAAGTGAGATAATGCTTTAGTTCTATGACTTAACAGCAATGCATTGCAGGAGCTTTACTCTTTTATGAATCCTGGTCTTGTTTAATAGCCAGTTTCAGTTCGCCTAAATGCACTTATCCTTAAAGGTCCTGCACGATCTCCCTGATGCTGTTTAACAAGTGTAGTGTGCTGGTGACACATTTGACTGGGCTATTGAAGTCAGACTTCCTTTTATCCCAATGGGTTGATCTATCTGTAGCAGATTTATTTTACAAAGCCATATCCTACAGACATGTCAGTAAGTATATATGTCATTGTCATACTCTGATATTTTGACGCCTAGATTTCATCTCACCCTGCAGATTATCTGAAATCCTATCCCCAATATTTTCCTGGCAATGTCAACTATCTGCTGCTAAGCTCATCCTTAAAAATTAGAAATTTAACATATTCTAGATGCTGAACAAGATAAAAAAAAAATGCAATACATAACCCTCATAAGCAATTAAAAAATTATACTAAGGCACTTTTTATTTTCACGAAATCACCAACTTCTGGCACCTCTATTATACCCATGCTACAACTCAGCTATAGCTACTGAAACAATTTATATCACTGATATTAAATCGTACTCCTTGTATTAGGAGTATGATTAACAAGTAAGTTAAAAACTAAGAAACAGAAATGTATCTGGGCTGGGTGTGATGGCCTATGCCTGTAATTCCAGTACTTTGAGAGGCTGAGGTGTGTGGATCACATCACTTGAGGTCAGGAGTTCGAGACCAGCCTGACCAACATGGTGAAACCCAGTGTCTACTAAAAATACAAAAGTAGCCGAGCTTGGTGGCACATGCCTGTAATTCCAGCTACTCAGGAGGCTGAGGCAAAAGAATTGCTTGAACCCGAGAGTCAGAGGCTGCAGTGAGCCAAGATTGTGCCATTGCACCTCCAGTCTGAGCAATAGAGTGAGAATCCCTCTCAAAAAAAAAAAAAAAGTTTCTGAAGTTGAAGATTTAATTATGCTAAATGGAAACAGTTTGAAAAGGAAAGTTATTACCAGAACTGCCTGGTCATCTTTCCTTCCCTCCCTCCTCTAATCAACTCTCCTCAATCTGTTTCCATATACCTTTCCTACTTGCTACTAATTCCCAAGACACTTTCACTGTGCTCTGTGGAACTCACAGTCATGACTTATATCTTCAACCTCATCTTTAGACATTTTATTTACCTTCTTGTATATTGATTGCTCAAAACCAAACTATTTCTTGAATACAACAAAACAACAACCTGTAAAACTGTTTTTCACCCATATTTCTTTCCAGTTTCTGCACTACTTCTCTTGTCCCCTTTACAGCAAAAGTCCTTAGAAAAGTTTCCTATGGAATTTTGATTTCAAATATATTTCTTTTCATTTTATCTTAAATCCATATTCCATGGGATTTTTCATGGAAAAACCCTCAGCATTTCATGGAAAGTTCTCTTATATGTGTCAATATTTGACCTGTTTTTACCATTTGACATTGTTGATTCTCTTCATCTTGCTATTCTTATTTTGTCCAACTCTACTGGCAAATATTTTTAAGTTAAAGTCCTTTTTTGTTGGTTCCTCCTCATTTTCTTAATTTAAAATGTTTGGCATGTTCAAAGTTTTGTGTTCGGAATGGTCATACATTCATTTACCTGTTTGTTTCTTGATCTTTCTGTACTCCTTCTCTTAGTGATCTTATCTGGTCTCTGGTTTTACTCTGTACAATCATGGCTTTCAGATTTGTATTTCTGGCCTGAACCTCTCTTCTCAAATCCAGGTTCATATATCCAACTACCTATTATATTACTATTTTATTTCTTTTCTTAAATTAAATATGCATTTGATCTAAGTTGAACCAAATATTACTGATCTAAACCTCTTAGCAGAACTGTGAAGCCGGGTCATAGGAAACAACACAAACTTTGTGATTTTTCTTATAAGAATTCCATATGTATATTAATAAAGTAATAAAAGGAAATTCATAATGGGTAAAGAAAATCAAATGTATACAATAAAGATATAAAATATCAGTATCAGTCTTTTTATGGTAAAGAATGCCATGATTCTTAATTTCTGCATTTTACTAATTTGGTGACTGTCAAGTAGTTATCATCTAGCCAAAGGCTAATTTAATCATTTGGATCTGAATGTCCTCATGGTGATAACTATTTCAACACTGGCACATTTTTAGTTCTCTGCTCATAATTAATCTTATGCTGACCAGTTTTATATAATGTAAATCTATCTCTTGCTTCCAGTAATTGCATATCTAATGTACTGTGAAAAGAAGCCAATATTGCATCTGCTAAAGTAACTAAAAAGCAAAACTGTAAACATCATCAGCTAATGATTTTTATCACTTAGCTTTACTTTTTTTAACTTTTGGAACTTTGCAAATATAGTCACTTTTAGCCAAAACTTTGAATTACATCTTTAGTTTGGATGAGTAATTATGCTTTGGCATGAAAGAATATTTTATTTTATATACCAAGAGTTTCTTGTTGGTAGTTATGTAAAGAAAGCAATCCAATAACCACCACTGATAGAACACATTATACTTAAATAAAGCTGATTTTTTTTTTTTAGCTGAAGCCCAAGGGACAAATATGGAACAGTAGAAAATATTTTGAACAGTAGTGAAGTTGTAAAATATGCTTGAAGAAATGCTTACTGCATGATAGTTGTTTTTTCATTTAGTTGTAAAACACCCGCTTCATGGAAAATTATATTGAATATAATGCTGACTTCTGGTCATGTCAGCATAAGATGCAATAGGTTTGTTCAGTGAAATTAAGGGATCACTGACAAACCACAGGGACTCATGGACAGGTAAAACCCAGTTCATTAAAAAAAAAAAAAAAAAAACTTTAGCTTTGCATAACACTTTTAACTTTTCAGACAATTTTCATATCAACTCTTTTATTTGTCTTTCTTAACTCTGGTGGGTCATCAAGTATTAGAATTAAAAACAAACTCAGTTTCCTAAAAACTTGTCTCCCCACAAATTCTCAGTCATATAATATATGTTAAATTATGCTCATGACTAGGACTCTTTGGCATTAGTATCACCGCCCTCAAATTTGGGGCAAAATCAGGATCCATTTACTTCATAGCTACTGTGAAATGCGAAACTATGTTTTGTATTTATTTTCTGTACAATTTACAATCTAAATATAATTTAAATTTTTTTTAATTTTTTCTTTTTCTTTTTTCTCTGGCTATAACATCTCCTTCCTAATTTACATCCTTTGTTGATTTTTCAGCGTGACTACTTGATTTCCAGATCTTCCTATCACTCTAAGTTTGTTTTTTACTAAAGCATAATTGTTAATAAAAGATGGTTTCTCACCATATAGAAAAGCACATTTATTTGTTAAGGGTATTCTATCACTACATTTTCCTGCTAGAATACTTAGTCAAATTCTCAAGGTCCATGAGTAGTATCAATGACACTGACATCAAATATTTGTGTTCTTTCTTGGCTTAATACTCATGATTTCCTAAACTCAGAGCATCAATTTTCTTATCTTTTTGTGAAAACCTATAATTTTCCCATTCTTTCTTGATGAGAATACATGGTAGTGATTTTTGAAACCTAGGCAATCAAAAAGATACTTCTTTTACCTGCATGCTTTACCTGATTTATATGATATATCATGGACTTAGGACTGCAATAAATATTTTCCAGTGGTTAAGCAATAGTTTTCCCTAGTTTTCCCAACTATTGCTTAAATTTGAGTTAATAGCTCTGCTTAAGCACATTCTCGCATGTGTTGTTTTTTCTTACTTTATTATCTGGGAATAGGCTTTATAAAAATTTAAATGTCATGGAAAGTGCAAATTTCTGAAAGAATCCCAGTTTGAGATGGGATGTCAGACTTACCCGTTATGTACCTAATTTTTATGCCTAAAGTGAAACAAATAGATCTTAATTTCTGATATTATGTAAATGGCTCAGAAGGAATAGAGATTAAGATACCACACCAAATTCATCATCTTTCTATTTTAGGTGTTGGTAAGTAAAAAAAAAAAACAAAAAAAAAAAGGTATATTTTCTTAAATCATGGGAAGGCATTCATTCTACTGCTTGGTCAAGTTTTTGTTTTGATGTTTTATTTCTACATGAACCTCAGCCAAAATTTTTGTCACATGTCAGTAATTAGGGTTTTGCAAAGACATTTGGCAGTTTTCTCATGAAGTGTAAAGATAAACTTTTGAGGGAGGAATCAAAGTTATCACTTTAAAAATGAACTGTATTCCATTGCAACATATATCGCCTTCAGAATTATATTCTATTATTTTCTCATCAATAAGAAATATTATCCTATAGTCTCATGGCACAAGACAGGTAAGCCACAAACCTTAGATTTTTACAATATACTTCTTCTACTGCAACAAAAAATGGAACATATACAGGTAACATATATTATATAAATAGGTTTTAATGAATGTGAATAAGCTAAGTAGCATAAATCCTATATCTAAAAAGTAACATATAAAGAAACAATTTCAACTCTTTTTTCACATTTTCTTTTCCATACTTGAAGTACGAGTATAATGTGTTTTTATTAATTCAGATGAACTCATGCTTATACTTATCATACCTGTTGAGCAGACTCATTGAAACTTATAATAAAAATTCCCTAGTTGCAGATTATATTATTTAGAAGCATATTATCCATTAAAATATCCCCAACTATCAAAATATCAGATATTTCAATTTTTTAAATTAAAAACCTATACTAATATAATGGATGCTGAGTTATATATTTCATATATCTTTTAATAGAACTATACATTTATATTTAGGTGGACTGTTCTAGAGTGTCTCTTTCACAATAAAATCCCATGTATATTAAAGTATGTAAACAAACAATACTTGTTCACAATTTTAGTAATTACAGTCATAGCAATGTTTTAACATTTTACATCACTATTTTTAAATCTAAGTATCTTGATTTATTATAATAATTACTGACCTCATAGAAGGGCATGCTGTAACTTCTTAAGTATTTAGTTCCTATTATAACTTTACATTTCTCAGTGGAGACTCATAGTTTTACAATAGTTTTAGATAATTTTATTGGGACATATCATCTAAAGTAAATACATGCACTAGCCCAACTCCATAAAAGTTAAAACAGAGACAGAATTATTTATTTTCTTGGCATTAAAATAAGAACAATATTCAGAGTTTAGATTCTATTCTAATGTTGCTCCAATTAAAGTTACTATCAATGTTATAGATTATAAACATTTTAAATATTTTTTTAAGCTATTCTTTGTTTTATTCTAATGTATCATTTGAGAAAATAATTATAGTTCCTTGTAATACATTTCTTTATTTTATTTATTACATTGATGTGATAAATTTAAATAGCTATCTTACCATTATGAAATAGTACTGCAACACATTTTTCAGTTTCATTAAGGATTATTTAAAAATTTTAGCCATGCATCTGTCTACCCAATTTAAATAGGCTTATACAGGAAGGAAATCAGTCTATGTACAAGATTTCTTGCACAATAGATCTTGAATTATTTGTTCCTTGCTAAGGGTAAATCTCTCAAATAAACATTTTTCCCCTACTATCCATATCTCATTTAATAAACACATATTTATAAAACTACTTAAGATATCTTACTGTGGTATATAATATTTGTCCAGAATTTGGACAAGAACTTTAAATTGTTCCTGGTCATATATGTGACTATAGGATATAAGCGTAGGCATTACTTTGAGATAGTGGCCAGGAGTTTAATAGCTGTCTGCTTAGTGGGAAAGATATGCAACTAAATGCTCACGCTTTTCATTAGTTACTCTTGGCCCCTCCTTTGCTAAACTTCCTTTCTCATTTTAATGTATGCTGTTCTGCTTCTGCACCAACAGAGGACTCTATTTGTCGTTTGGTTAAATTCCAATTCTCCTGAAGCCTCCTGTTGGTAACATTAATTTCAAATTCAGTTAGTGGATTTCCTTTCTTAATGGCCAACTCCAATTGTGACATGTTGTTTATTTAATCTATCTGTCAACATAGAATGTTCAATGATAAATCACTGGGACGTTTCTAGCTTATGCACTGTCATGTCATATTCCAACTGGTTGGTTTCGAAACAGCAGGATATTGTTTTCTTCTTCATTTCTTGGGTGTGTATTATAAACTTTCCAGACAGTTCTGTCCTGGCCACTTACTGATTTGTGTCCACTAAAATGATTTGAATTTCCACATTTTGATAATTTGACTGTCACATTAGTTTTTAAGGTTTTTAACAGTTGGGTCCAGGTGCTCATTCCATTTTCACCATTAATTTCACCTTTGTTGAAAGCATTGCTGCATTTTTTTTGTTGTTGTTGTTTCTTTGTTGTAGCAATAAATAACTTCAGGACCAGGTGACAATGAATTCACTTGGGGCCAAAGTCAGGCCTGGTTACAAGCTCTGTGGGGAGACGTGCATTTATACATGGCTGGTTAAATTTTTACTTTAAAGTTTATTTTCAATGTCTTATTATTTATCAATGTATATCTTTAGAGCTTATAATTAATAAAGTTTACATTACATGTAATACATATACAATATGTCCCATTTTTTCTTTCCATACTCTATATCCTAGTGGCATCAAAATGACTTCAATGGTTTTTAAGACTTTTTACTTTGAGTTACTTTCAGAAATAAGTTATTTATTTAATTTAAAAGATCAAATGAATTCTAATGTACTACAAATAAAGCTATGATAGATGCATGGAATAATGAAAAGAGCTGACATACTTCAAACAACATTATTTATTGTCTTTCAGTGTGCACACTGATGCTCACTGTTTCACTCAAGTGTCATAACACTCACAGCAATAACATTTTAATTTTTTAACACTAGTTCATACCAAAGTACATTTATAAAAGTTGCTTTTTGCTTGATATATAATCCAAATGAATTTTCTTTGGCATCATACTATTAATTTGTTGAAATACTATCCGGTGTCCAGGACTTTGGTTTCTTTTTGTTTTTGTGTGTTTGTTTGTTTGTCTTCAAACAGCTTTTTTTTTTATCACGAAAAGGTTTCAAGTGAATAAATTATCTGACATTCAGTTTCTAAAAGTTAAATATTTTTCCATATCTTTTGAGCTGGTAAATAGCCTTCTTTAGAACGGGTGCAGTGGCTCATGCAGGTCATCCCAACACTTTGGGAAGCTGAGGCGGGTGGATCACGAGGTCAGGAGTTTGAGACCAGCTTGACCAACATGGAGAAACCCCATCTCTACTAAAAATACAAAAATTACCTGGGCATGGTGGTGTGTGCCTGTAATGCCAGCTATGCGGGAGGCTGGAGAAGGAGCATCGCTTGAACCCAGGAGGTGGAGGTTGCAGTGAGCCGAGATTGCACAACTGCACCCCAGCCTGGGCAACAGAGCGAGACTCATCTCAAAAAAAAACAAAAAAAAATTGCCTTCTTTAATTGGTGACAGTGTAAATTGTTGAAATTAAATTGAGAAAATTGTTTGGTTTCTATTTCTAGAAGATAAGTCTAGCTGTTCTTAAAAACTGTGAGGAAAAGTTTTGTTTTGACCCTACTTATGTCTTTATCACAAATATTCTTTTTTAAAAAAGAACAGAAACAACTTTCTGCTTATCCATATTATATCAATTTAGCAGTAGTCTGCAGCTGTAAGACAGGCAATTAGCAAGTCTTTCAGTATGTTCACAATTGTTTAAAAATTACACATTAGGCGTTTTCACAAACACTTCATTAGGCCATACATAATGCAGTTCACATATTATTTTCATTTAAAACGTAACCATAAGTATAAATGAACACACATACACACACACACACACATATATCCACAAAAGACAACCATAAGTATATATGTGTATAAATACGTATGTGGGGGCCAAGTGCAGTGGCTCATGCCTGTAATCCCAGCACTTTGGGAGGCTGAGGCAGATCGATCACGTGAGGTCAGAAGTCTGAGACCAGCGTGGCCAACATGGTGAAACCCCATCTATACTAAAAATACAAAAATTAGCCCGGTGTGGTGGCACATGATACCAGCTATTCCGGAGGCTGAAGCAGGAGAATTGTTGAACTTCAGTGCAGTGGGCTGAGATTGTGCCATCGCATTCCAACCTGGGTGACAGAGCAAGACTCCATCTCAAAAAAATAAATAAATAAAATAAAATAAAATAAAATAAGACTCACAAGTAGTAATTTACTATTTTACATGAATTGTGCTGGGTACTTTGTTATCTACTTCATTTGATCTTAAGCTATAATCAGTCTAACAATTTCTTTAGAAATTAAGATGTTATATTCTGCTTATTTTATGTGAAAAATATTTTGATTGATTATATTTGTAATGTTTGTTAAATTAACTTTTTATGGTATAAAATATTTGTAAAACTAGAATAAAATAAATACATTTAATTATTCTATTAAATTTAATTAAATTATCTGTTTAAAGATATGGAAGTTATGATTGACCAATATAGCAATGTTGCCCAGGACAGTTCAAATTTAAGTATTTATCCATCAGATTGTTTATAGGAATCAAAGTTTAATTACACAAATCACTCAAAACAAATATTTCAAAATTTGTTTGTCTTATAAAAGACAAATTCAAAGGTTGGACTGTAATTAAATGATAATGTATAATTTGTTTCTCAAATTTCATAAGTGCTGCACCATTCATACTATTTCATAATACATTACTATGTATTTTTAGCCTTTCTTCTATTTAATGTGAATATTTAATTATTTGTTTATCCTGAAATTACTGTTTGAGAGGATAGTATTTACGAGATGCAACATATATTATTAAAAAATATAATGAGTAGTACAAATAAGCTTGTAAATAATTAAATGTTTTGATTTTTTTTTGAAGGGAAAGACAGGATGCCATCACAGTCAACACATAGAGCTACTCACCTAAAGATTCAATGTAATGTGAAACATCAGACCGAGCCTCTAAAATATCTCTAACTCTATTTATAGTTGATCTCTTTCAGTAAATGTTTGAGTATATTTCTGACCAGTTGTTACTTTCTAAAGAGTAAATGTTTGAGTATATTTCTGACCAGTTGTTACTTTCTGGCTGTCAGTTCTCAAATAATACAAACTCCCTGGGCCTCTTGCCATAATCCTCATGGAAGTAGTGAAGGGAATGATAATATTGCAGAAAATAGAAGAGCAATGCAAAGATTCAAATAATGTCACAGCTGGAAAGAAAAATTATGTTTAGTGTTTGAGTTAGAAAGGCACTACTGAGAACCTGGATGTTATATTGGCTCACGTTGCCATAACAAAATGCCACAGGCTGGGTGGACTAAGCAACAGAAATTTATTTCCTCACAATTCTGGAAGCCAAAAGTCCAAGACCAAAGTGTCAATAGGCTTAGTTTATCCTGAGGCCTCTATTCTTGGCTTGCAGAAGGCCACCTGTCGCTGTAACAACCCCAACAACCAGCATAGCAGCAAACTGGGCATTTATAAGTACTGCTTAATAAAAGACTCAAGTTAAAATAGATAGCAAATAGCAAAAACATGCTATTCATATAATTGGTTCGCTTCTTCAGAAATAATTACCAAGTATCTTTTTAGTCAAATCAAGTGAGGACAAATGTGGGGCTCCCAAACCAATACCCATCCTCTGAGGGAGAGACAATCATTTTGGAGCCATTCTAAAGGAAATTGTTTCAAAATTTCTAGTAAACATGGGACCAAGCTGATACCCACTTAGCACATTTGTTCATGCTAAAAATAACTATGACTGATGAGTGAAAAGCACCCCAGCATCTGAATACAGGTGGTTTGACTGTAAATGACCCATACTTTGGCTACAAACTTAGATGTCCTCAAGTTTAATCCCATGCTTAGAAGAGTCACACCAGAAAAGAAATCTTCGATGATATTTTCTATACTTCAAGAGCTATTTTTCTAGCTTATGGGTTTGTCCTTATATTGAGAGTTGTTCTTAAGAATGGGAAAATGATTTATGAGGAAGCAGCTTGAAAGAGAAACATCATGAGACATTATTTATATTAATTGGAGGTTTATATTATAAAAGTATCCTTAAGAACATTGCTTCAGTTGGGTACTGAGATCAGTTGCTTATGACAGGAACTCTAAGGAAGTAGAGTTGCAGCTCACAGGGCAATTGAGGGGAAATTATTTATTTGTGTATGAATTAAAGGAAAAAATGAGGCTATCTAAATATGTGGTACTATATAAGGAAAAAATAGGAGTAAAAGCAAAAGGAAAATGGAAAAACAATCAAAGATCTACCCCAAGAATGACATTAATGACAATGTTAGACAATTCTAGAAGCTTGTCATTTTCCCATTATATTTTGTAACTTACTTTGGCCCATGTTTCTACAATGTGATTACAGAAAAAAAGGGTATACATGCTCCTTTTGGGAGAAAGCAATACATAGGGTCTCAGAACTATTTACAGTTGGCCCTGTCCATTTGCATAATTTTGAATGACTTCTCCTTAAGGCAAACAATGTCTTTAAAATATGTGCTTATAAATGTGTGCAGGACCACATCATGAAAACAAGAGTTAAGTTGAAAACTTTCATATGACATACGTTATCATCTGAAATGGGAAAATCAAGCATAGGATCACTGAAGCAAGCAAAATAACATTAACCTTTACTGAATTTTTTAAATATAATAATGCAAGTAAACTTACAATGAACCAGAAAGGCTATTCACAGGAATGATAATATTACCTTTGAATTACAACAGCAATTTTTTTTTTGCTGTTGTTGTTAGTTTATATGTCAGGTATGAAAGCTCTAAGTGCCAATGAATCAGCCAAAATTTTCAAAATGAAAGAAAGGAAGAGAATAGTATGATTTAAATGTTATAAAGAGAAATAATTTATATACAGGGTTATGAGAGGTTATTAAAATTTCTCAAAGTTGAGCTAGATGCTGTGGCTCATGCCTGTAGTCCCAACTGCTCGGGAGACTGAAGAGGGAGGATCACTTGAGCCCAGGAGGTCCAGACTATCTAAATATGTGGTACTATATACTAAATACATGGTACTATATTTAAGGCTACAGTGAGTCATAATTTTGCCACTGTCCAGCCTGGGCAACAGAGTGAGATCCTGTCTAAGAAAAGACAGAGAAAGAGAAAGAGAAAGAGAGAAAGAAAGAAAGAAAAAGAAAGAAAGAAAGGAATTACACAAAGTAATAATTGAGAACATCTCCAAACTGTTAATTGCAATGAGCTAAAGTATACCTATTTTATATTTTGAAAACTGAATGAACATCTTTTTTTATTTATATATTTATTTTATTTTTTTTTTTGAGACCGAGTCTCACTCTGTCACCGAGGCTGGAGTGCAGTGGTGCGATCTCGGCTCACTGCAAGCTCCGCCTCCCGGGTTGACGACATTCTCCTGCCTCAGCCTCCCGAGTAGCTGGGACTACAGGCGCCTGCCACCACACCTGGCTAATTTTTTGTATTTTTAGTAGAGACGGGGTTTCACCGCATTAGTCAGGATGGTCTCGATCTCCTGAACTCGTGATCCGCCCTCCTCAGCCTCCCAAAGGGCTGGGATTACAGGCGTGAACCACCGCGCCCAGCATCTTTTTTTTTTTCTTTTTTTTTTTTTTCCATTAACAGATTTGGCTTCTCTAGTTACTTAAAATGGAGCAATGATGCAAAGGTATAGTGATGGAATGAGTCACGCTAATGAGTTCCTTCCAGGCAATAACTCCATTTTATTTGACTTTATTTCTTTAGAACTAATGGGTCACTGGCTAAGAAATACAAGATAAAAACTAAATGTTTAAATAATGATATTGAACTGAGTACTAAGGAACATAATCGTCCGAGCCAGACAGCCTTATTTCAATTTCTGGAGCCATCATTTACATGTTGAGTTGTCTAGAAAAAAGTTATCCAATCTATCAGAGCCTTATTTTCCCTTTCTTTAAGATAAGAATGCCCCAACTTTCTCAGGTTGTTGTAAAGATTAAATGAGGTTATGTAAATATTGAATAAATGTTGGCATAGGAGCATATGGTCAGTACTTCACTAGTGACAGCTGTTGTGAGTAAACTCCTCTGGTTTTTAGGATGCTCCTACTCCCCAGGACTACTCCCTAAACCTCAACTAAAATGCCACGTGCCCCAGGAAGGCTATGTCACCTATCCCTAGGCTAAATTGCTTCTCTTCTCTAGTCACTTTAAGACCATTAATTTTATTTAGA
Organism: Homo sapiens; assembly: GCF_000001405.40. Classification (NCBI taxonomy): domain Eukaryota; kingdom Metazoa; phylum Chordata; class Mammalia; order Primates; family Hominidae; genus Homo; species Homo sapiens. The sequence continues at coordinate 166,311,051 of NC_000003.12, forward strand.
GTAATTATTATTGCACATACTTGCAATTTTTATATTTTTGCTTTTGTGCAGTAAACCACCATGGCACACGTATGCCTATGTATCAGACCCGCACATTCTGCACAAGTATCTCAGAACTCAAAGAAAAAAAAAAAGAAAGAAAACAAACATATATTTAATAATGCAATATGGTGACTACAGTCGATAATAACTGTATATGTTAAAACAGTTTAAAGAATGTACGTTAATTATTTGTAACTCAAAGAATAAATGCTTGAGGGGATGGAGACTCTATTCTCCATGATGTGCTTATTTTACATTGTATGTCTCTAACAAAATATCTCATGTATTCCATAAATATATACACTTACAATGTACCCACAAAATGTTAAAAATAATAAAAAGTAAAAAATAAAAAATAAAACAGTTTTCTAATAAAATTTTGGGCAAGATATTATGAACCATCTAAAAGATAATTCTGTCTAAATTCTTTTAGATAGACCAATCTACATCAGCCCAAAAATGATAGACATATTGTATATTTCTTATTACTTTTTTGGTCAGAGTATGAACTAGATAAATATTGAGATGTCCAGTTATTATGAAATTCTAAATTTTTCTAAAGTTTTAAAAATACATTGCTCAAAATTTAAAATCAATTGATAAATTAAAAATAGATTGACTTATGAATATATGGTTATTTGTTAAGATAATGAAAATGTAATAAATTCTTATTTTTAATGCTGCACTGGCAATATCAACTCTATAGCAAAAGGATATTTTATACATTTTTTTCTAACAATATTTATAATTTTGAGAATCTCCCTGAAAAGAAAATAAAAACAAATCCGTTTCTGTGCCCCCCCCCCCAATAACTGATATAATATTTTAGGCAATAAATGGAGTAGAAATGTCAGCTATGTGGTACTGGAAACTCGCTTTCTTGTTTAATCAAAAAATTAAGAAAATCCTAAGAATCACACAATCTATCATTATTTTAATATCTCAATCAGATACTTCAACAGAGTAGAAATTTTTGAGATTCTAAATTATCAGAGAAACCTTGACATTCTTTAATTATTTCATCATGTTTCAGCCTGAGAAAGTTACTTAGTTTGCTCCTTGATGTTTGAGTGTTGATGTCATGAAATATTCCTAGAAATCTATTCAGTTATTTTTTGAAAAAGTAAAATTAAATTAAAATAAAAACAATACATCTTACTGCTCAGCCAGCAGCAATTTTTATAGTGGTTACTATGTTTTCATTTTAAACTTTTCATGGGTAAACAAAACAAGCACTATTTAGAGATTCTACCTAGATAGTAGATATACATATTTGTGTAAAGCCTTAGAAATAAATGCCAAGGATATTTTTTTCTTTTTAGTGACTTTGAAATGTCAGTCATTAAGGCTATTATAAAAATTGGGATTTCTAAAAGTATGAAAACAACCTAAAATGAATTTCTTATTTTTGTCATTTATGTGAATGATTTATTTTTAGAAAATGAAACATTTCTCTAAGAAAACATTCTAACAATTTTATATAATTAAATTGAATGAATATAAATAATAATTACATTAAACTAATGCATTATGTAGACTGTTACATTTTAAAATACTAACATAGTAGATGTATGAAAACTTACAGATTACTTTGAGGAAACTTGAATCTATCCACTATAATACCAAATAAGATGCATTATTTCTGTAATGAATTAATTTACCATGCCTTCGTTTTAACAGTCTTATTTATTGTTTAGTAATATCAGATGAGGAATTATACATCATGCCTTAACTTGAGTTTATTTGACTTACAAGAAACTCATAGTAATGTCACCTTGGTCTATCAGTGAAAAAGGCGTTTTACAAAATATTTATGGATTATGGAATTTAACAATTTTAACCACTCAAGCCCAAAATTTTTATGTACTGTTTTTATTAAAAGTCTTTCTAAAATTCAAAATGTTTCTATGATTTCTGTATAAATACTCTGACTATGCTGTTAACTTCCATTAAATGACTATGTTATATTGATGAAAATTACTTAAAATGTTTTGCTGACATATGTGTGTGTGTAATTTTCAATACAAAAGACTAGACTTAATCCTAGCATTCACTCTTTATAATTTTATAATTCTTGAATGTGCTTTCTTTTTCCATCTTATATCTCCTGTGATAGTAATTCTGCTGATATCTAGTTGGTCTTTCTCCAATATTCTGAATCTACAATATTCTATACTTGGAAATCAAATACAATTCATGATTTATATTTACATACGTTGAGGTAGAATTTCTGGATAAGGTATCAAGGTAATTTCTATAACCATAAATAGTATAAGTTTTAGTTCATAAGCATGCTCTTAGCTTTCTTGGATGTCAAAAATAATTTTCTATTTCTAAGTTATTGCCTCTATTCTGAGGTTCCTGATATCAAGTCTCAATGTAAATGAGATGTCTGTATATACATGTTAGTCATTGTTACTTGGCAAGGCAACTAAACAGAAGCAGAAACTATTGTGGAAGGAATCTTCGCATATAAATTAAATATCTTATATTTAAGTAATATGGTATTATAAAATAAGTCTGGTGCATATTTAGGGAGCAAATTTATCTTTTTAAAAGTTCTAGAATCCTTAAAGGATGATACACTTGGAAAATAAAGCAATAAAGTATTATGAACTGAACCAACAAATATAAAAAATATAAATTGATGTTACAACAACAACAACAAAACATACTTCAACTCACAGATAATGGTGGCCATGTGACCCAGTTTTGGTAAATAAGATGAAAGCAGGAGTAAATAAATATTCTAGGAACGTTTCTACTTTTCTGATAAAAGAAACAGACTTGACTATTACTGCCCCTTTCTCCATCTTAAGCATTGATTTAATGTCTGGAGTTTGACAATTATTTTATAACTAGGAAGGAAAAAAATACATTGAGCAGAATCAGGAAGATTCTGTCTCTGACATCATTAAGGGGCTTACCCAAGGTCAGTGACGCTCTGCTTCCAGACTTGTTCCAAATAGTATTCCTGAATGATAAAAGCATTAGCTAGGATTCTTTATAAACAGAGATAAAATGGACAAACCTTGAAGACAAATGTGATTGTATTTTGGCAACTTTTGTTATGAATCTTTGTTGAAATAAATGGTATCTGTAGTATAGCATAAACTCAGTCTTCTCTAATATAGAGTAGACAGTATTGGCAAAAGCAGGTTCAGTTGTCTGACATGATATGTTTAAGTTCCAAGGATGTCACTTCTAGCCATGTGACCTTGGGTAAAATTTAGGTAGCCGCAGATACCTCAAGCTCCTCTGTGATTGCCATTAATAGTTGTACCTACCTCATAATCATGGGCCAGATTAAATGACTAGTGCACATAAAACTTGCAGCACAGTGTCTGGTATTTTTTATTTGTAGTATATTATTAGTTAGAGATATTGATTATCTTATAGGCTATATAAGAGTAAGTAAATTAATAATAATGAGAATTTCCTTAAATTAAATTATACTGCCTTTTGAAGTCAAAATTTACATGATTATTTAGGCATTTATTAAGTGTTTACTAAGTATCTGGAACTCTACTAGTTGCTAGAAACACAGAGATAATTAGAACATAATTCTTTCAGGAAATCTGAAGTAGCAAGGAAGATGAAGATTAAAAACAAAAGCATGGTAAATCCAAGAATGTACTTACAAACATGGTTTGGAAGGAGTAAAAAGAGAAGTATATTTAACTCATATATATACACACACACACACACACACACACACACACACACACATTATACATATACACATATGTATACATTATACATATACACCAGGGAAGTCCCATCAGATATTTGCAATGAGTATTAATGAAAATTTAGGATAGAGGACAAGGAAGAATATGACATTTTCAGCAGAGGAAAAGCACTTATAGAGTCCAAGAGTTGCACAGCACAGCAACATGTTTTGGAAAATAAAACCTTTAATGCATGGCTGTGACAGAGGCTTATCAGGTGAAGTAACAAAGATGAAATAGAATATATCCCTGGAGTCAGATTATGAAAGTTCTCATATAGCTCTCAAAGGTTAGATTTCAAATCAGTATAAAGAGTGGTTTTCAAATTATATTTCATAGAATCTATCTATTCCCCAAAGCCTCTAAGGGCTGCTAGATTGTGTGAGAAGAAGGAAAAACAGGTATAGTTTTAGGGATCATTCCTCAATTTAACCCATTGCTATGGCTTTAAAACAAAATACATAACACAGATTCATAACTAGGTATTCATACAGAATTATTTTTGAAAAGGGGAAAATGCTTTCAAAAAAGTAAAGGATTGATTATCAAATAATATGGTCATCTTTTTATATTTTTCACACAAATTTTTTTTTCTGGCAAGGATGCAGGGATGTTCCTGTGAGACATATTAATAATCAACCTGAGAAATGAGATAATGTGGACCCAAAATAAGGCTCTAGAGAAATGGGAATGGAGAACAGCTGGCAGTTGTGATACATATGAGAGATAGTACAGACAGTTTGGGAGACTTCATACAAAGGTCTTCAACATTTTTTCACTTATGCCTTCCACAAGCAATGTTGAAATACTTTTATCTGTCTTTCTATGTTATTACATTGATTCGTATATTTTTATGTTTAATTCATAAAAAAAGATAGAATAGCATTTTTAAAGGACATTCAAAAAAACTGTTCATTACTGTAAAATGTATACAGTAGAATCTAAATTCCATAGCAAATTGATTCCAACAATTACTCACTTTAAATGCATTAAATACTGTTCTTTAACAGTTGTAAATTTTATCTCACTATTTTTACTTATTGAGTCTACTCTAATAAAAATATAACGCACTTGAAAATTTATATTGACCACTACATTATAGTCCTTTCCAATTTGAAAATTCCAGTTTCAAATTGCTGCATATAGTCCTTTGGGGTTTATTGTCTTATTTCATAAATTAAATTTGAGCAAGGAAGAATTCTTATTGATAAAATTGATTTAATAAGCATGAATATAGCCTGTGGTGAAAGGTAGGTGCACATAACACAAAATGTAAAAATTAATATTTTAAAATTATCTTCATCTTTTTGTGAACCTAAGATTCTTAGCATTAAATTTTACAGAATAAAATAGTACTTTGTCAAGGGTAAGTGACAATATTGTCTACGCATGTAAGTACCTACCTATTTGTCAGTATTTATACCAGTGCAAAAAAATAGCATTTGAATATTTAGGAAGTCAATTTGTTTCTAAACTTGTTTAAACTGCATATTGTTTTGTTATGAATAAATATTAGCATATGTTGATTCTGGTATGGCAAAACTGTGCACTTTTAGAGTTTAAAAGTTTTAAACTAGCATTTTAACATTTCTATAACTTTTAGGCCATTTGAATCTAAATTAGATTTTTCTTTCATTAAAATGAGGGAATATATATTGAATATGTTTTAACTACTTAACATTTGTTTAGTATAATTTTGGTTAAATTCATATAGGACAAAATGACAGCCATGCAATCATCAAAATAATGTAAGTAATATGCTGTTGTAAATAAAAGTAATACATTTTAGATTTGAGTAAATTTTCTTCTGTTTTGTTCTAAGAAGAGTTGCTTCTACTCAAGTTTTAGGGAGAAAGATTGACTAATTCATCCCCTGCTATAACCCTTTAATAGCAAATGATCATAGAGGATCAGATGAAAGAAGTAGCTTCACGGAACAACCACTGGAGTGGGACAAGAGTAAAAGAGAACATTCAAAAGCCATTGCAAGCTGAAAGTCTCCAGTGGATTGGCTCCTGGGAAATTCACCGCCTTGGGGCAGAAGGAAGAATAGGAAAATTTACTATTTGATAGCTTTTCTTCCTAGTGTAAGCAGGAAGCTGTTTAAAGCTAAATAACCATGGAGACAGAGGAGTGTAATTTATAAGAGTAAAATTGTAATTAGCTACAGAAACTTGAAAACTAACTTCTGTGTACTTTTGAATTGGTTGTGTTTTTTATTGTCATCTCCCTTAAAAATTTCACATAAATGATGGAATGTAATTGAAGAATGCTATTTGAACAGAATAAATGAAATTCTCAATAGCTGCATATAGTCCTTGGGGTTTGTTGTCTTATTTCATAAATTAAATTTGAGCAAGGAAGAATTCTTATTGATAAAATTGATTTACTAAGCATGAATACAGCCTGTGGTGAAAGGTAGGTGCACTTAACACAAAATGTAAAACTAGTGATGCAGGAAAAAATGTTTTAATATATACTGAAAATTGAGAACACATTCAAAATACAATAGTATTTGTTTGGAATTTATATGCGGTTTTGAGCTACAGGTGCAAACATCATGGAATAACAATTGAAAACATTGGCATAGAATGTGGATTCTGTATAAATATTTTATATACTCATTCACAAATGTTCAATTTCTGCATTCAGTTCTAAAATCATTTCAATCTAAAATGACTTATTTTAAAGATATTTTAGCAAAACAATATTTGCATGTATAATTTATACATTTGATTTTATGTTCTTGATGTTATACCTGTATTTCCAACAAGAAATATATTAAATATATTTATTCAGTTACTCTTTTCCTAATGAACACCAGTTCACAGTTGTGTGTGTGTGGGTGTGTCTTTAAATACAGATGTTTCATATGTTCTATATTTGTGGGTTTTTTACTTCTGTCATGTCCTCAGGTACATACAATGTGATATTTGGATTCCAGAAACTGTTATCACTCTTAATTCTTGTACTTAAACTGCACCAGAATGGAGATTATCCACTTTTCATTTCCTTCTCCTGAAAACACCTATATCAATAGCCTTCGACAGGGGGCATTTTTGCCCTCCAGAGAACATTTGGCAATATCTGGAGACATTTTTGTTTTCTCAAATGATCTGGGGTATGCTGCCAGCATCTAGTAGGTAGATTCCAGGGATGCTGGTAAACCTCACAGTACCCAGGACAGGCCCACAACAAGAATGATCTGGCCCCAAGTGTCAATAGTCTCAACGCTGAGAAATTCTGAACCAGAAAATAGGAAACATGGTGGTAAGATTAGAAGATGCTATTTGAAAAATGAATTGAGTATATAATGTGGTTTCTGTCACAGCCGGCTTGTCTAATGGATAGTCATCCTCGTTTCTTCTCTGCTAATTGAATCCAATATTCAGTCACTTGCAAATTGCTTAGCCTAGTGAATAAATTATAACTCGTCTAAACTAATTAGAGCAGGCCATTCTTCTTTGCTAATTATTGGCTTAAAAGAGGACCTAAAATTTTTATTTTAAGAAAGTCCTCTAGAAATTTCCAGGAATATTGGAATCTTGATTCTATCAAAGGAGATAAATTTACAAAGTGAAAATCCTTTTTCTCTTTGTCTTTTTTTTAATTCTATTCCTGTCCTGGATTTGATTACACGAGGACACTATAGCTGAGGCTACAGCAGTTATCTTATTAACCATGAGGTGGCAAGTCTATACGCCAAATCCAACACTAAGATTTTAGACTAGAAAGATCCTGGATTCCTAATGTTGACTTCTGTAGCCAACTCTGAGATTATGTTTGCACAGAATATGATTAATAGCTAATTATATGAAGTTGTAGCTGGATGATTGATATCAAACTAACCCTTCTATTTATAATAAATGCGAAGAGGGAAAGAACAAAGCTTCCACAGCATGGAAGGTGAACCCGGCGGGTTGCCACTGCTGGCTCCAGTGGCCAGCGTTTATTCCCTTATTTGGCCCCACCCACGTCCTGCTGATTGGTCCATTTTACTGAGCGCTGATTGGTCCATTTTACAGAGTGCTGATTGGTCTGTTTTTACTGAGTGCTGATTGGTGCGTTTAGAAATCTTTAGCAAGACACAGAGCGCTGATTGGTGCATTTTTACAGAGTGTCGATTGTTGCATTTACAAACCTTTAGCTAGACACTGAGCACTGACTGGTGCGTTTTTACAGAGTGCTGATTTGTGTGTTTACAAACCTTTAGATAGAAAAGTTCTCCATGTCCTCACTCGACCCAAGAAGTCCAGCTGGCTTCACCTCTCAAAATTATCAGGCATGTTATAACAATAATATACTAAAAGCTGAAGTCCTAGAAAAAAATTAACAGACAATAGATAAATCTGCAGTAATCCAGATATTAGCATTAGTACAAATAAGTTGTTGTTTTTGTTGTTGTTGTTTGGAGACGGAGTCTCACTCTGTCACCAGGCTGGAGTGCAGTGGCGCGATTTCAGCTCACTGCAACCTCTGACTCCCTGGTTCAAGCAATTCTCCTGCCTCAGCCTCACGAGTAGCTGGCATTACAGGCACGTGCCACCACGCCCAGCTAATGTTTGTATTTTTAGTAGAGAGGGAGTTTCACCGTGTTGGCCAGGCTGGTCTAGATCATCTGACCTCATGATCTGCCCACCTCGGCCTCCCAAAGTGCTGGGATTACAAGCGTGAGTCACCGGGCCTGGCCACAAATAAGTTTTAATATATCTATTACTAACATGTGAAAAAGATAAAACAACTTATTAGAGGACTGTAACCTATAATAAACAAACATATAAAAAAATGAGAACTTAAAAGTACAATAACTCAAATAATTTAATATATGCATTAAAGGCATTTGTATATGTCCAGAAAGTGGTTTAGTATTCCAAAAGATAAAAATTTAATACGTGTAAAACAATACAATTTGTAGTGCATAGAAAAAAGGGTTAATAAATCCAAAGAAAATACATGAAATGCAATACAAGTTATGAAAAAATTATTACTGTACATTCAATTGGAATATTACTACAGAAGTTAAAAAGAATGAAGCAAAAGCAATATTTGAAGAGATACGGTCTAAGGATTTCCAAAAGTGTAGATGATATCAAGCCACAAATTCAAGACCTGCTTTAAACACTGAAAATGATTTTTAAAAAATTAAAAGTCCTGGAAACCATCATTCTCAGCAAACTATCGCAAGGACAAAAAAACCAAACACCACATGTTCTCACTCATAGGCGGGATTTCAACAGTGAGAACACATGGACACAGAAGGGGAACACCACACACCGGGGCCTTTTGTGGGGTGGGGGGAGGGGGGAGGGATAGCATTAGGAGATATACCTAATGTTAAATGACGAGTTAATGGTTGCAGCACACCATCATGGCACATGCATACATATGTAACTAACCTGCACGTTGTGCACATGTACCCTAAAACTTAAAGTATAATAAAAAAAAATTAAAAGTCCTAGAAACATTATAATAAAACTGTTTAACTATAAAGGAAAAGGGGCATCAGGGTAATGTTCAAAGCAGCACCAAATTAAGAAAAGATATGTTCCTTTAAAAGGAATAGCAATAAGTCTGACAGTTGATTTATCATCACAAACAATGTAAGACAAATGACTTTGGGATCACATCTAAAAAGTGTAGGAAAAAGACTGTCAATCTAGATAGAATTTAATACACAGTAAAAATATCTTTTTAAAATGAAGAGTAAATATATAGTTTTGGACAAAAATAACTCTAATATATCCAAGAAGATAATAAAACCTTTTCTAAATTTGTGTCTACTTACTACAGCAGAATTAGAATGTATAAAACAAAACAAGCATAATTAAATAGAAAAAAGTTGCATTCATAACTGAAGCTGAATATCTTAAAACATGACTTTCCATAACAAAAAAATCGTATAATAAATGAGGAGATATACAAGAGATTTGAACTATACAACTAACAACATTTATGCAACTGGTTTAAATGGAACATTGTACTCAACAATCACAGAATATATTATTCTTTCAAATCTCAAAAAGATCACATAAAAAACTCTTACAAATAAAAAATTAGTAAAGACAACCAATACGAAGTGGGAAAATACTTAAAGAAATACTTCGAGAAGTACTAAAATGTCAATTACTATATGAACATATACTCAACTTTTTATTAATAAAGTCCAAATCCACAATGAAATTCCATTATGCATTTTCTAGAATAGCTAAAGTTAAAAACACAGATATTAGAAGAAAATGATTGGCATTGTGAAGTAACTATAACATAAACCTGTATGAAGGTAAAATTGGTTCAGATAAACTAAACCAAACCAAACCAAACCCAAACAAATAAAAAACACTGCCAAAAACTCTTTAGCATTACCTTCTAATGCTGAATGTACACAAAACCTAAGATTCAGTGATTCCATCCATGGGTCTATATTTAACGTAAGTATACCCACATAAACAACAACATGTATACAAATATGTAAACATTATTAGCAATAGCCTCAAACTGAGAATAACCCAACGTACTTTTAAAATTTGATATATTGATTCTGGTTTTGTCTTCCATGACCGCCACTTTCTGAACTCCTTTCCCTATTCCTTGTGTTGCTGATCATGAGGGTTTATTTTTACTATCAAATTATTCAGATGAGTTAATGTGACTCTAGAAAAACCAGAAGCCTCTATGGTATACCATAAATGCTGATAATAAGTAGCATCAAAAGTAGAATGGAAAAATACACTGTACTATTTTCATAGAATGGCATATTATACAACAGTTAAATGAACAAATCGCTGCTTCATAGAGGAACATAGATGGAGCTTATAGACATTATATTTGAATGAAAGAAGCTAGAGACAAAAAAAATTAAAAAAATTCATTTTATTTATAAACATTCAAAACAGACAAAACAAATAGAAAATTTTAATTGTATGTTAATAATAGAATTCAGAATAGGGGTTATCTTTCTAGATAGGGGTTACAGAATAGGGGTTACATTGGGATGGGTACCTGAAGGAAGCTTCAAAAATTTGGGTACCCGTCTATATTTTGATGTGGTTACACAAACATATTCATTTTGTAAAAATATATCAAGCTGTAGGCTCGAGATTTGTGCATTTTACTTATAAACATATTATTCTTCAATTTAATGATTACCATCAACATATTTATAAATTTTCTGTAACTTGTATTCATAACTTTCCAGCATATAGATGTTGAATAGCATATTAGGAGCAATGCTACTGTGTGCAATGTTAAATTCTAGAAGTCAAATTGTCATGGAAGTAACATATTTATGACTTTATTTTAGACAGCTAAATCGTTAGTTTGTAGAATGGATTGCATGGTGCAATTTTTCTGGCAGAGGGATTACTTGGAGATTGATCTCACTGAATGCTCAATGATTCCCTTGTAAAATTAACAATGGCTTATTTCTCGGTTTGGAATAATACAGTGATTTACATTGTAAATGTCCCTCAGTCAAGAATCACCCAGGAACTTATATAATTGAATAAATTGAGTTTACTATTGATAGCAGTGAGGGAGAATATACACCATAGAGAACCATGGGGCATCCCAGAAGGACAGTCTTAAAAAGAATTTGTTGTAGAGTTTTTGATTTGGTTGGATAAATGTGGGGCTTTGCTGTTGATTGGGTGTTGTCAGAAAGTGGCTTCAACTTTATAACCAGGAATTCAATAAATCTTATCTATAGGGAGAGGTAATCAGAACAAGAATGAACCTGTGATTACGTGAGAAGTAGTAGTCACTACTACTTTAGTGAGGGAAAGGAATGTTTGGTATTTTATGGGCTGCACATTGATCTCATTTTTTCTCTTTTTCATGATCACAGAGTGACTTCATTTGCTATAGCTGTTCTGTAATATTGCTTATGTCCAACAGTATGACAATATTATATACCTGTAAGCCTCATATCACTTTGGAATAACATTGAAGCCTACCTGTGAATGCTAGATCAGTTTATAATAATACATTTAATGTTGAGATCTAGCTGTGAGGACAGTTCTCCAACATCAGGGGCTCTTATTATCAGCATCTATGGTATACCATACAGGTTTCTGTTTTTTCTAGGGTCTTGTTCATTCATTGGATTAATTTTATAGTAAAAATAAGCCCACATGATTAGCAACACAAGGAAGAGGGAAAGGAGTTCAGAAAGTGGTGGTCATAGAAGACAAAATCAGAATCAATATATCAAATTTTAAGAAATGAGATGATATTAGTATACACATATGTATAGATATAATGAGAAAAAACAATTATGTCTGTATTCTTCACTCTACATAAAAATGGGACCAACATACCCACATTTTGTTTGTAAAGAACAGTAGAAAGAAGATGTTTTGTATTCTTCCACAGAAAGCCTGAATGGAGAGATTTACTAGGAAAGGTGGACACAGCAGGAATAGAACAGGGGAAGGGAAAACATTCTCAAGATAGAGCTGCTAATTTAGGGGGACTCATTTTGAGAAAAAGGGTTTCCATCTAGTTTCAGTTTAGCATAACATCATAGAGCCAACCAAATTTGCAAGTCTATGTGGATTTGGAAAAACTAATACATGACTAAACTTTGTAGATTAAAAACAAGAAGGATCTTTTCCAACTGTTTGAATCTTTTAAGTATGAGATTCTTACAAGAAGTAATGGAAATCATAGGGATAACTGAGATTGATATTTTCACCACAGTAGAATTGGTATTTTAAAGTTAGATTAAATATGATTTAGAAAAGTAGGGTTATCTTTATTTAGAAAAATAAAGTGTTTATTTTACTCTAGGTTTAAAGCAAAATAAAATCTGTAACTTACATATTTCATGATTTTTTAGTACAAAAATACCAAAATGTTCAAAAATAAAATGTTCTGTCGCTAAGCAATTCATGAATAGCACTATTAATTGTGTTGCCACCTTTATGTAGCATTGGCATCACAACAAGATTTCAGCCTTTTCTCTTTTTTTCCAACTTTCATTTTAGATAGAAGGGTTATATGGGCAAATTTGTTACATGGGAATATTGCATGGTGCTGATGTTTGGATTACAGATCCCTTCACCCAGATATGTGAGCATAGTACCCAAAATGTAGTTTTTAAACCACCCTACCTTCTTGTAATTGATAGTCTTTATTGTTCCCATATGTATGTCTGTGTGTGCTTAATGCTTAGCTCCCACTTATACATGAAAACATGTAGTATTTGGTTTTCTGTTCCTGCATTACTTTGCTTAGGATGTGGCCTCCAATTCCATCGACGTTGTTTCAAATGACATGACTTCATTCTTTTTTTATGGCTTCATGGTATACCGTGGTTTATATCTACCACATTTTCTTTATCCAGTCTACTATTAATTGGCACCTGGGTTATTTCCATGTTTCTTACTATTGTGACTATCACAGTGATGAACATATGAACGCATGTGTCTTTTTGGTGGAATGATTTATTTTCTATTGGGTATATACTCTGTCATAGGATTGCTGGGTCAAATGGTAGCTGTTTAAGTTCTTTGAAAAGTGCTTTCTACAGTGGCAGAACTAATCCACACTCCCACCAACAGGGTATGTTTCCTGTTCTCTGCAGCTTCATCAGCATCTGTCGTTCCTTCACTTTTTAGTAATAGCCATTATGACTTGCATGAGATGGTATATCTAACTACAGTTTTACTTTGTATTTCTCTGATGGTTAGCGATGCAGAGCATTTTTTCATATGTTGGTTAGACACTAGTATGTCTTTTTATGAGCAGTGTCTGTTCATGTCCTTTGCTTGTTTTTCAATAGGGTTCTTTGTTTTTTGCTTGATGATTTGTTTCAGTTCCCTATAGGTTCTAGATATAAGGCCTTTGTTAGATGCATAGCCTGCCAATATCTTTTCCCATTCTGTACGTTGGCTGTTTGCCCCGTTGATAGTTTCTTTTGCTGAGCAGATACTCGTTAGTTTAATTAGGCCCTACTTGTCTATTTTGTTGTTGTTGCAATTGCTTTTGAGGACTTAGCCAAAACTTGTTTGCCAATGCCAATGTCGAGTACAGTATTTCCTAGGTTGTCTTCCAGGATTTTATAGCTTGAGATCTTAAATATTTAATCCATTTTGAGTTAATTTTTGTATACGGTGAAATAAAAGGGTCCACTTCAATCTTCTGAATATATCTAGACACTTATCTCAGCACCATTTATTGAATATGCAGTCATTATATCATTGTTTTTGTCAGTCTTGTCAAAGATCAGACGGTTGTAGGTGTGCAGCTTTATTTCTGAGCTTTGTATTACGTTATTTTAGTCTATGTGTCTTTTTGAACGAGGAACAAGGTGTTTTGCTTACTGTGGCCTTACAGTACAGTTTGAAGTCAGATACTATGATGCCTCTGGCTTTGTTCTTTTTGATTAGAAGTGCTTGGCTATTCGGGCTCTTTTGGGGTTTCATATTAAATTTTAGAATAGTTTTCTTCTAATTCTGTGAAGAATAATGTTGGTAGTGTGAGAGGAATAGTATTAAGTTTGTAAATTGCTTTGGGCAGTATGGTCATTTTTATGATATTGACTATTCCAATCTATGAACACAGTATTTTTTTCATATATTTGTGTCATCTCTGATTCCTTTCAGCAGTGTTTTGTAATTCTAATTGTAGAGATTTTTCTCCTCATTGGTTAGCTATATTCCTAGGTATTTCATTTTCATTGTGGCTATTTTAAATGGGATTATGTTCTTCATTTTACTTTCAGCCTGGACATTGTTTGTGTGTAGAAATACTACTTATTTTTGTACATTGATTTTGTATCCTAATACTTGACTAAACTTGTTTATCAATTCTAGAAACTTTATAGCAGAATCTTTAAGATTGTCTAGGTATAGAAACACATGTTTAGTGAGGAGAGATAGTTTGACATCTTCTTTTCATATTTGGATGCCTTTTAATGATTTCTCTCGCTTAATTGTCCTGGCTAGGCCTTCTAGTGCTATGTTGAATAGGAGTCATGAGAGTGGGTGTCCTTGTGTTGCTTCAGTTCTTAAGGCAAATAGTTCAAGCTTTTGGCTATTCATTATAATGTTGGCTATAGGCTTGTCATAGATGGTGCTTACAATTTTGAGATATGTCCCTTTGATGCCTAGTCTGATGAGGGTTTTTATCAAGAAAGGCTGTTGGACTTTACTGAAAAAATTGTATGCATCTATTGAGATGATAATGTGGGTTTTGCTTTTTATTCTTTTTATGTGGTGAATCGCATTTATTGATTTCTGTATGTTGAACCAGCTTTGCATCCCAGAAATAAAGCCTACTTGATTGTCGTGTATTAACGTTTTGATATGCTACTGGATTTGATTTGCTAGTACTTTTTGTTGAGGATTTGTGTATCTATTAGGCTGGTGCAAAAGTTATTGTGGTTTTGCCATTGAAAGTCATAGCAAAAACTGGCTGAGGGTGTTGGCTAACAGCTGTAATGCTAGCACTTTGGGATGCCGAGAAGGGTGGATCACTTGAGGTCAGGAGTTACAGTCCAGCCTGGCCAAACTGGCGAAACCCCATCTCTACTAAAAATACAAAAAAAAATATTAGCTGGACATGGTGGCACTCGCCTGTAGTCCCAGCTTCTTGGGAGGCTGAGGCAGGAAAGTTACTTGAACCTGGGAGGTGGAGGTTGCAGCGAGCCGAGATCATGCCACTGCACTCCAGCCTGGCTAACAGAGGGAGACTCCATCTCAAAAACGAAAAGAAAAGAAAGTAACAGCAAAAACTGCAAATACTTTTCCACCAAC
This sequence comes from Homo sapiens, assembly GCF_000001405.40. Taxonomy (NCBI): domain Eukaryota; kingdom Metazoa; phylum Chordata; class Mammalia; order Primates; family Hominidae; genus Homo; species Homo sapiens. Next base: position 166,326,580 of record NC_000003.12, read on the forward strand.
TTAATATGTTCTTGAGGGAAATTGGTCTGAAGTTTTCTTTTTTCACTGTGTGTCTGCCATATAATGGTATCAGGTTGATGCTGCCTTCATAGAATAAATTAGGGGGTAGCCCCTCCTCTTTGATTTTTTGGAATAGCTTCACTGGGATTGGTATCCGTTCTTTATATGTCTGCTTGAATTGGACTGTGAATCCATCTGGTTCAAAGCTTTTATTTTGGTTGGTAGTTTCTCTATTATTGATACAATTTTAGGACATTTCCTTTTAAATCCTTTCAATTTCACTTATCATGGCAAAAGGCCATTGATCAGTGGCATAAACTCTGCATGAAAATAGTACATTACCAGGCATCTTAACTGTGGGTGAACAGAATTGATTTTAAACTTAAGTCACTAATTGTGGCTTTGGTGACAAAGTGAGTTAGGAATACACAGCAAAATGCCAATACCAGATTGAGAAAAGATTGATGTATTTAAAGTCCTAACCTGTAAAGCTTCTAACTGAAAGGATCCAGCTGTTCACAGGAAAAGGCTTTTAGCACTATTGTCACAGGGATAGGACATGTTAGGGGAATTTTGTGAATAAGAGGAGCTTCACAAATTAAAGATGTTCAACGCTTTATATCTTCCTAAAACATAAGAAAACATAAATAGAATACACAGAAATATTAGGTATATCATTTATACCTATAATATATTTTATTTTCAATTTTAAAGGTTTAATCATAGTGAAGAAATATTGGTTCCAGAATGTAACAATAGTCCAAAATCCAATAGGGTAGTCATTAAACTTTAAAGTTCCAAAATGATCTCTTGTTTGACTCCGTGTCTCACATCCAGATCACACTGATGCAAGAGGTGGATTCCCATAGCCTTGGGCAGCTACACCTCTGTGGCTTTGCAGGGTACAGTCACCCTCCCAGCTGCTTTCACTGACGGGCATTGAGTGTCTGAAGCTTTTCCACGTGCACAGTGCAAGCTGTTGGTGCATCTACCATTCTGGGATCTGGAGGACAGTAGCCATCTTCTCACAATTCCAATAGGCAGTGCTCCAATGGGGACTCTATGTGGGGGCTCTGACCCCACATTTCCCTTCTGCAGTGCCCTTGCAGAGGTACTCCATGAGGTCTCTGCCCCTGCAGCAAACTTCTGCCTGGACATTCAGGCATTTCCATACATCCTCTAAAATCTAAGTGGAGGTTCTCAATCCTCATTTCTCGATTTCTGTGCACACACAGGCTCAACACCACATGGAAGCTGCCAAGGGCTGGGGCTTGCACCCTCTGAGGCAATGGCCCAAGGTATACCTGGCATCTTTTAGCCATGACTGACACTGAAGCAGCTGGGATGCAGGGCCCCATGTTCTGAGACTGCACAGAGCTGGGGGACCATGGGCCCTGCCTACAAAACCATTTTTTCTTCCTTTTCTTCCAAGGCATCTGGGCCTGTAACGGGAAGGCTGCCACCAATATCTCTGACATGCCATGAAGACATTTCCACATTGTCTTGGTGATTAACATTCATTTCCTCGTTACTTATGCAAATTTCTGAAGCAGGCTTGAATTTATCCCATGAAAATGGGTTTTTCTTTTCTGTGGCATTGTCAGACTGCAAATTTTTCAAATTTTTATGCTCTGCTTCCTCTTAAATGCTTTGCTGCTTAGAAATTTCTTCCACCAGATACACAAAATCATCTCTCTCAAGTTCACAGTTCCACAAATCTCTAGGGCAGGGCCAAAATTCTGCCTGTCTCTTTGCTAAAGCTTAGCAAGAGTGACCTTTGCTTCATTTCCCAATAAGTTCTTCATCTCCATCTGAGACTACCTCAGCCTGGACTTCATTGTCCACAGCACTATCAGCCTTTTGGTCAAAGCCATGAAACAAGTCTCTAGGAAATTCCAAAATTCCAAACTCCAAACATCTTCCTGTCTTCTTCAGAGCCCTCCAAACTGTTTCAACCTCTGCTCATTATCCAGTTCCAATGTTGCTTTCACATTTTTGGGTATATTTACTTAAATTTATATCTATCATTTCTGACCACCTGAGAAAAAGTATCATGTAATATATAAATATTTATCAAATATAAGGAAGCATCCAAGGAAACGGAAGAAAATTTATTGTTGAATATTAATTTTATTGTTGCTGCTTTTATTCTTGGATCAGATGTAGAGGTTTTCCTAAGCAGAGATTGGGTTTATGCAAATGTATACAGGGCCTAGTAGGTAACTTAAATGTACAGACAGGTATATGACAATATCAGTGTAGGAGATACTGTCAAGCTGGAAAACTCACCTGCCCCATCTTTATAAGTGGTATGGCTGTTATTTAGTTTCAGCTTATAGATACTTAAAGTATCAGTTCAATCTTGGCAAACTTTTGTATTTTTGTAAAGAAAAAGCCATAAATCAAATATTTATCAAATCATAAATCACTCTTATCAAATCATAAATCACCATAAATCAAATACCTATCTATCTATCTATCTATCTATCTATCTATCTATCCACACAAACACTCATAGGAGTGTGTATTAGTCCATTCTCACATTGCTAAAAGAAAATACCTAAGATTGGGAAATTTATAAAGGATAGATGTTTAATTGACTCATAATTCAGCATCACTGCAGAGGCCTCAGGAAATTTATCATCATGGCAGAAGGCAAAGGGAAATCAAGGCACCTTCTTTACAAGGTGGCAGGAGGAGAAGTGCTGAGAGAAGGGAGAAGAGCCCCTTATGAAACCATCAGATCTCGTGAGAACTCACTCACTATTTTGGGAACAGCAAGGAGAAACTGCCCCCATGATCCAATTACCTCCACCTGGTATCTCTCTTAAAACGTGGGTGTTATGAGGATTATAGGGATTATAATTCAAGATGATATTTGGGTGAGGACACAAATCATAACCATATTATTCAATGACAATATGTATTATTTAGAAGACTCCCAAGAAAGAAAACCAAATGACAAAGAGAAAAAGATAGATTTATCATGAGGAATTGACTCATGAGATGGAAACTGAGAAGCCTCAGGATCTGCTATATGCAAGCTGCAGGCCCATGAAAGCTAATAGCGTAGTTTAAAAGTTCAAACCCACAGGCCAGAAAGCCAGGCAGCCAATGGCATAAATCCTCATCTAAATCTGAAGGCCCAAGAATCAGAAGCACAAATACCTCAGGGCAGGAGAGGGGCATCCTAGCTCAAAGCACAGAGAGTAAACTTACCTTTCCTCCACCTTTTTATTCTATTCAGGCCCTCAACACATCAGTGTTACCTACCCACATTAGTGAATGAGATCTTTTTTACTCAGGGTACACTCTGCAAAAAGAGTTCTTTTACTCTTCCAAAAGAACTCTGCAGACACATCTAGAAATAATGCTTTTCCTTCCATCTGACCCATCCCTTAGCCCATTCAAGTTTACACAAAAAAATTAACCATATTTTTCTATTTTTATTTCCTTCATCTGCTACAATGCAGACTTCAAAGCACAGAAATGTTTTTCTAGTATGTATACCAATGCATAATAAGCATACATAGTAGTACCTGGTACACTATATTCAATAAACATTTTTTGAATAAGTTTAACAAAAAAGAGTGAATAAGTATATCCTCACAGGAGATTCAGAAAGCAAGCTCATAAATACTAAGTGGAGCTTTTTCTGTATACTACCCTTTTAAATGGCAATGGTACATAAACGAACAATATTTTTTGCCTTCAAGTTTCTAATATTATAATAACATTCACATCTATAAAATTAAAAATTCTAATTCAATAGAAAATATTAATAATAATAGAGCTGCAAAAGCTCGGTTAGGAATGAACCAAAGGTATTCCATACTAAGGGTATGATACTGATTTAGATTCTAAGCTAAAAAATGTTGCCATGGGTGATACATTTTCAAGATCACTAACATATTTAGCAAATTTTTGGAGCATTTACAGTGAGACAGAAATTATGCTGGACTCTGGAGATGCAAAGATGAATATTACTGGATTACTGTTTTCTATATTTTGACAATGTTTTAGCTAGTATCCTAAGTATTGATAGAATATGACATTGAGAGCATTTGAGTGACTTCTCTTGAAATTGTGCATTCTACACAGTAATAACTGAAATTTTCAGCAAATTTATAATGTTAAACTCAGGTTTTACAGGCACAGATAAAACACACTGACATTATCTTTTAAGTTAAAACTACATGTTAATTATTTCTGCACAGTTTGGGTAACTAATACAATTACATTTAGAAAATATATTGTTGTATAACAGTGAAGTGTCTGAACCTTCTATGTCAGTGTTCAATAAATTGAATTTGACATGCCCAAGGGGCTCACCAAGAAGGTGCACTCAAGGAAAGCGGACTGTTTCAGACATGACCTTGCCATTTAACAAGTCATATCAGAGCCACACAGATTAGTTCCAGTTTGTTCTCTGAGGTGAACATATTCGGGATATTAAGACTGTGGCAGTGGCTTTAAGCAATTTTGGAAAGGAGTGAAAAAACAGGAATATTGTCAACTGTCCAATTCAAAAACTATTGGCTGAATGCTTTATTTCTGGGCTATATTTGATTATCCGTATCTTCCAAAAAGAAATTACAGACACATTACAGTGAAAGACATATATGCGATCCCTGGCACATAATAGGTATTCAATAAATATTGTTGACCTATGACTGAAATAATACATGTTACACAATTGATAAAGCATACAATAAAATAATAGAAAATAAATTAATATACCAAAGTCATAGGCTCTGGCATATTAACTTATCAAATATAAGGAATCACTACAAGGGCTGAAGAAAATTTCTTATTGGATATTAATTTTATTGTTGCTGCTTGTATTCTTGGATCAGATTTAGAGGTTTTCCAGAGAAGAAATTGGGCTTACACAAATGTTTACAGGGACTAGTAGGTAACTTAAATCTGCAAATAGACAGGTATATGACAGTATCAGTGAAGGAGATACTGTCAAGCTGGAAAACTCACTTGCCCCATCTTTATAAGGGGTATAGCTGTTGTTTCGTTCCAGCTTATAGATACTTAGTGAAGGTATCAGTTCAATATTGCCAGACTTTTGTATTTTTGTAAAAAGAAAGCCATAAATTAAAAATTTAACTGTAACTTTTCTATACTTAAATGTTGACTATACACACAGACACACATACGCAGAGACATACATTTTTACTTGGGTAATGTTGACTCTACACACAGACACACATACACAGAGGCATATATTTTTATTTGGGTAAATGTATAAATATCAGACTATTAGATTACAACCATTCGTTGATAAATGATTTTTTTTTCTGGCATATAAAAGCATAAACAAGGGCCTACTGAGTTAACAGCTGTATATATGATGGATCTGGCCCTCCTAGAGCAGCATGTTTATTAAATTATTTTGAAGAATAACTTTTGGCATGTCTTGTTTTATTGGTTTAATAGCTATTATTTTTCATTTTTAAACCTCATGTTATAAGCACAGATCCTTAGCATTAAATTATTACAAATCTTAAACTCAACACCCCAATGTATAAAATAGATGTATTATTATATCTCAAATTAAAAACAGTGGTAGTAACACTGTTGTCATTCAACCTTCAAACCCATTTTACTCTTATTATGTAGAGAAAATGCTTTAATCTGACGATATAGGACAAAAGCAGGGAACACCTGCCTTCTGCTCTGGTCTAGATCCCAAGCTCACATTCCACCCACAGCTGGGATGGGCATGCAGCAATCTGCTTTGCCTTGGGTGCTGGTAAGTGGATGAGGAGAACACAGTGGTGCTTGAAAAACTCGGAAGTGCCAGTGACCCTGAAGCCCTAAAGTGAGTGTTACAGAGTGCTACAGCTCATTCAGTCCTTCTGCCCCACTGCAGCCAGCAGTTCCAGGGCTGACCTGCCCCGCTGTTGTTTCCCATCATGTGGAGTGACTGCCTGGCACCCACGCAGGATGGAGGGCTACAGTATTACAGCCTTTCTTGTACCTGTGTTTGGTGGGTACTGAGTTCTTGTCCAGCATACAAGAATGGGGTTATGCTGACGACCAAATGGTGAAAAGGGTGGAAAAAAGTTTTATTGAGTGACAGAACAGCTGTCAATAGAGAGGGGACTCGAAGTGGGTGGTCCCCCACCCAAAGGCAGGTAGTCCCTCCCAACCAAAGTTGGGTAGTCCCGCCCACCTGAAGGTGGGTAGTCCCAAAGTGTGGCTGAGTCCAGGACTTTTACGGGCTCAGAAAAGGGGAGTGTGTGCTGATTGGTTTATGAGTATGCAAAAAAGGTTAAAACAAAGTCATCACACAAAGCTAGGCACAACAGTGTAAAAAACCAATTAGGGAAGGGTAGGTATATATTTCAAGTAGATGGAATGGGGATCAATCTGGGAAAAAGCACACTAAATGGGAAGAGAGGTTCTCAATCTGATCCATGGATTTATCTGAGACTTGTAGCCTGGCTTTCAGGCTTTAAACTGTCTTTGGTTTGAAGGTCTGGTTTCATCAGGGACCCACCCATATCTGCCTAGGGATTTGTCTGCCTCCTGCTGCTATCAATGTCGGGAGATATTTTTTATTTTCAGGACTTGGGAATAGGGAGAAGAGGGATAGAGTTCCTGGAATCTCCTAAGAAGTCAGAAATGCTGCTAAACAATTCACCATGCATAGGACAGCCTCTCCCATAAAAATGAGTTATCTTTGCCCAGATGGCAGTAGTGCTAAGGCTAAAAATCCTCCTTTAGAAAATCAAAGTCCAGTCATGAGGTATGTGCTTGGCACATCATTATTGTTTGAAACTATGTTTTAAGTTTTATATAGTTCAACATTTGTGTGAAGAGCTGGCAATTTCCAAAATAAATGCAGAGAAGGGAAAGAAAAAACACAATCAAGCATAGAAAAGCATTATCCCAATAATAAAAATCTGTGAAGAAATATCAAGAGTAAAAAGTAATTCCATGAGGACTAATTGTTTCAGTCTTCCTGCTCCAGGGCACATCTTATCTAATGAATAAAACTAGGCCCAGGAAAAACAGTTGTTCTAAGAAATAAAACTAGAATCCAAAATGGAAAAGCATCTATACCCAAACAAAAAATAATTTCAAGGTCTGTGTTTGCAGACATATGAGTACTGCCAAAAGTTGAGAGAGACATTTGTTCAGATCAATATAAAAATGTGCCATTACAAGAAACATTACTATGGTCATGCTTCTTCCATAAATGAATAAAGCTAATAGGCAGGCATTCTTGGATTTTTGTTTGGCACAGCAGAAACTAGAATTTATCTTAGTGCTCTATTAATACTTCAGGATCACTAACACATCATAAAGTCATATTAGATACGGTAAAACCTAGGAAATATACTATTCTAACATTTAAGAAACCTAGCATTTTCTATTAGTTTTCTTGACTTACTTTCAGCATTGCTTTTTTGCTTGTTTTGTAATTTGCATGATCATTTTCTGTCTTGGAATCATGTTTATTCTGAATTTCCCCCAAAGAAGCAGATATTCTAGGTACAAAATGACCTTAAAAGTAATAAGCTGTTATGTATGTGATTAGAAGTGTTGCTATGAGCTTAAGGACAGATTTTAGACTCATAAATTATATTGTGACAGTTTGTCATTGTTTGCCTTTTTGAAAATAGTTGTCTGTAATTTACCAACCTTACATCTAACTGCTATATTTCTGATTGTAGCTAAAAATGCTTTCTCTGAGGAAAAAATGGATAGTATGGTTCATGGAAGAAAAATAATATGATGAAAATGTCAGGTCTTAGAGTGGTAATTTGGGCTTCTTCTGCTGCCTGGCTACCACATGACCTTGAGCAATGCCTGGCTTCTTTGGTCTTTAATTTATCCATTTCTAAGTGAGCATAATACCACAAGATGAAGCTCATGAGATTGTTATGAGGAGACTCTAATAAAAATGCACTTTTCAAAAACGCTGCATAAATGCTAAATAGAGTAAAATATGCCTTTCTTCCAATACATTTTTGAGAGCTTTTCATTTTGGGCTCTCCTTTAATGATGACCACCTCATGGAGCTTCAGCAACCTTTTCAAATACCATGCAAGTAATTCTTTATTTCTATGAATGCACGAGACATTTAGATCTGTCTGTTCTTCACACAGAGAAGCAAATTGATCATTCAATATATACTCTGCTGTTTATACACAAATATGTGATTTTTTTCATAACTGATTTAAGGATAAAGGACATAACATTTTCTTTCACAGTAGACTAAAATATTGTAGTTCATATTTGGGTACAAATGAAAGTATGGTAGATTCAATAGTTATATTTAAATTAATTAAAATTTTAGTGGATTTTAGAGCAAATATAAAATGATGATGACAGCACAATTAAATAACTCTCTTGTAACAAACTCAAGTGAAGATATGGGGATTATACTCTAGGTTAGATTAGTTACATTTTTTTTTTTAAAAATGTATTTCCATATATGCTGTCACAGATAAATGAATTGAAAATAAATTATCTAAAAATTTTGAGTAGACTAGGCTTCCAGAATTGGTATAATTCATTCTTTAAACTATGATATATTTTAACAAATGCATTAATATTAAATTAATGAAATTATGAAGTTATATGGCTTTAAATGTCTCAAAATCCTAGTGACTGAAAGTATACAGGCATTGCACACACACGTAGCCCTCATTTGTAGGCCCTATATTTCCTAGAAAAATTGGTTCAAATCAAATTGTATGTATAAACATTCAATGTTATCATTATTTTCATTTCAAAAAGGTGAAAATATCATGGACTCAAAAGAAACCAAGCAACTGAAGCATGTAATTTTACATTATAGTGATACATATGTTCTCTTACATTTCTAGACTGCTAAAATGTTGGAAACCAGAGACAACAGGAGTAATTTATAGTCTAGGATTCTCAAAAAGGGCTGCTCATTTCAGTTACCTTTGAAATTCAAAATAATAATGATAGCAATAATAATAATAATAAGTTTACGGGGCTCGACTTGATTTACGAGATCTGAGTCTGGGTCTCAAATTTTAAAAATCAGTTCCTCAGTAATTCTTCTGTGTCACTCATGAAAGAAATCATTGATCTAATCAACATAATGTTTAACAGAGGAGAAAACAGAGTCCCAGAAAGGTTGAATAATTTAGCATGAATGTATAGCTAATTGGCAAAACTAACTCTAGAGTTTAAATCTCCAGGGAAAGAGACTACATTATAACATTTTTTTCCCTGAAAAAGAAAATATGTTTTTAGACTAAAATTCCATAAGTTTCAATTCCATAAATGAGTTTAGTATCTTCCATTTTATACATGTGCATGTGTGTATACACTTCACCCTTTATTTTGTAGCCATGAGATTGCTTCCCTCAATAAATGCAGAAAACTTCAGCATTAGCTCGTGAAGAGTTGATTTTTTTAGAGACAATTAAAATTTTAAAAAATATTCTGATTATTTTTTTCAGGATTCTTATAAACACCAGAGTTATTGGACAAGTAATATGATCCATAGAGTGAGAGGACAAAATGGTAAGATCTGTAAAATACCCAGGCTCCTGAGAGCTACACATTTCATGTAAAAGGGTTCAGAGGGACACAATGGTGTCAGAAATGGCTCAATTTCTGGGCATTGTGGATTTGATTTGGAATTTTGTTAAGAGTGCATTAGTGATGCCATTAACCGCTTTTTACATATGGCACTAGGTTGGTTTACTTGTTCAACAACTATAATTGAACACCTTTTCCCAACGTCAAAAATTCTAACTTTAATACAATGAAAAGAGTGAACATAGATGGATTATCATGTTCAAATTTCTCCTAAAATACTCTAAACACTGAATGGTCATTTGATTTAGATTAACCTTATTAAACATTAATGTTATGGTACATGGTTTATTCTTCCTTAGGGAGTCAGAGTCATTGATATGGAGACTTTAAAAAATACACATATAATATAATATATATAATGTTATGAACAATAATAAATGAAGTCCAGATAATAGCAACATCAACACAAATGTCTATACACAGTCCAAGCTACTTCTCTGACCACCATATTGGTATAATTAATTGCCTATTTTACATAGTCACTCAAATGTCTAAAGGCATTTCATGCTATTTAGCAGGATTTTTTTCCAGTTCTTAAAATTCTGATAAAGTACATAACATAAAATTTACCATCTTAATCATTTTTTATCATACAGTTCAATGGTATTGATTTCTTTCATAATGTTGTATAACAATTACTACTATTCATCAGCCGGGCGTGGTGGCTCACGCCTGTAATCCCAGCACTTTGGGAGGCCGAGGTGGGCAGATCACGAGGTCAGGAGATCGAGACTATCCTGGCTAACATGGTGAAACCCTGTCTCTACTAAAAATACAAAAAATTAGCTAGGCATGGTGGCAGGTGCCTGCAGCCCCAGCTACTCGGGAGGCTGAGGCAGGAGAATGGTGTGAACCCGGGAGGTGGAGCTTGCAGTGAGCTGAGATAGTGCCACTGCACTCCAGCCTGGGGACAGAGTGAGACTCCATTCAAAAAAAAAAAAATTACTACTATTCATCTCTATAACATTTTTCATGTTGTAAAGCTGAAATTTTATACTCATTAAACAATAGCTCCTCTTTCCTCCCTCCCCTCATCTCTTGCAATCACCATTCTACTTTTTGTCTCTACGATTGTAAATACTGTAAGTATCACAAATGAGTGGCATCATACAGTACTTTTCTTTTTGTGACTGGCTCATTTCACTTAGCATTATTTCTTCAAGGTTATTGGATGAGACTTGTTTTTGGGTTTTAAGGCCAAAGAGTATCCCATGATGTGTGTGTGTGTGTATATATATATATGTATATGAGTGTACGTGTGCATGTGTTTGTGTGTGTATACATACATACATACCAGATTTTGCTTATTTATTCATTTTGCTTAGCTATTTATTCATCAATGGACACTTGGGTTTGTGTTACTTCCACATTTTAACTATTATGAGTAATGCTGCCATGAATATGGATGTACAAACATCTCCTTGAGACATTGTTTTCATTTATTTCTGGTATATACTGAGTGGAATTGCTGTATCATACAGTAATTTCATTTTCAAATTTTTGATAAATTTCTATACTGTTTTTTCACATTACACATACCATTTTACATTCCCACCAACAGTGGACAAAAAATTACATTTCTCCACTGGAATTACAGTAGATTAATCTTTCCTTGAAAGTACAAAGCTGAAATTTACTAAATAGCAGTTCCAAATGACTTGTCTACCAATCTAAACATTCCTTTTTTTCATCTTCAGAATTTCATATTCTATCCCTTCTTTAAAAACTCACTTTAAATTAAAAGTACCTCTAACAATTTTATAAAATTATTTAAACATACAGTGTCATCTATATTCAAAACATCTCTCTGAATGATTATGCTACATAAAATACACATGGTGTATTCACTTATGCCATTTAGCATTTTTAAGATAAGAACAACAAACTTAAAAAGGTCAAATACACAAGAATGTATGAGATTGCAAAAGGTAAAGCTGAAATTTATACAAGTCTTATGATGCCAAATATAATTTTTACATTTCATCATAATTCTCTTCTATAAAAAATACAGTATTCTGGCCCAGCGCAGTGGCTCACGCCTGTAATCTCAGCACTTTGGGAGGCTGAGGCGGGCGGATCACAAGGTCAGGAGATCGAGATCATCCTGGCTAACAAGGTGAAACCCCATCGCTACTAAAAATACAAAAAATTAGCCAGGCGTGGTGGCAGGTGCCTGTAGTCCCAGCTACTTGGGAGGCTGAGGCAGGAGAATGGCTTGAACCCAGGAGGTGGAGCTTGCAGTGAGCTGAGATCGCGCCACTGCACTCCAGCCTGGGTGACAGAGTGAAACTCGGTCTCGAAAAAAGAAAAAAAAGAAAAACAATATTCTGAATGTAGATAACTTTCTGAGCAAGGTGTTTCTATTAAATAAGCCAAATCAACAACTGATATTGCAGTTGTTACATGTAATGTTCTTGTTTCTGGGCTCTCATGAAATGTTATAAATGTTCAGAAACATAAATGATAAGATATTTTAGAGCTCAATTTTTACATAATTTAAACGTAACTTAGTTCAAACTATTTGTTTTATGCATGAGGAAGCTAAGCCTCTCCTGCCCCCAGAAAAATACAAGCTCTCAGTCAGTGCCACACACCTATTGGGTGGCTAAGAGGAGACGAGTATCAATTTTTGTTCTAAATGTTTTTTGCTATGCAGTCTTCAAGTAATCATCTATCTATAAGAATGGAGAATGGCCTACATTATTAACTCCCTGGCTAGACAGTGTCTCATAAACATACTAGGATCAATGAATCAAAACCTCTAGTGTGAGATCTTTGCATCATTGCTTGTATAAAATTGAACATAAAATGTAGCTTGTGTTGAGAAGTAATGATTTTAAACCTGCAATCATTAAATATTAACACTTGACAGACCACATATTTGACAGCGATCTTATAAAACTTTTATCATATTGTAACTTTTCTATGTTCATATACACAAGAACTATTGTATTAGAGTTGCTTACAGTACTCAGAATAGTAACATTCTCTGCAGGTTTGTAGCCTAGGAGCAATAGGTTTTACCTTATAGCCTAGGTGTTTAGTAGACTGTACATTTTAGGTTTATGTAAGTATACTTTATGATAGTTGTGCAATGACAAAGTTGCTTACCAACATATCTTTGTCAATAAGAGGCATGACTATCTAGTTTCCAAATATAGTCTTGAGCACTTAAACTGCCCTTTATTAACTCAGCTGGATCCCTGTTTCCTACTCTTTCAAAAATCCCATTTTCTAGTGTTCCTCTATTCTTTGTGCGTGTGTATGCACAAACACATGCATTTTTCATCACTTCTACGTTAAAGAGAGAATAGTTTACCTTACTTCTATTCTATATCTATAAAAAAGAGAGGGAAAATTCTACTTTAAGCATTTGCATGAATGCCTTAGTATATGAGGAATGTGTATGTCTGTGGACCATTTGAAAATGAAATAGAAAACTGTTCGAATTTAAAAATCTTGTAGCTTGTTTCTTCTAAAATTTTACCTTTATACTATCAGATTTGTGTACTTCACTAAAAATTGCTGAATAAAAAGAATATGGTATTTTATTCTCATATGTTTGCCCTACTTTCTTTTCTCCACCATTTTCTTTAAGGTAGGGAATTATTAAGCAATAAGTTTAAAATTTGAAATTACAGTTACATTTTAATGCATCATTTGGTCTTCATCAGTAAAAGTTGGTTTCTTTTTTCTGTAGGACTGTGAATGACAAATGATTAACCAAATAGTTTTTTAAATGCAGACTGTCCCATGATACACATATTAATTAAATGAATAATAATAAAAAAGTAAAAAAATTCATTTTGGGTAAATAATATTGTTAATATACAAATGAGCCCATAGGTCTGAGTAAATGTGATATATGTATGTTATTAATAGTAAAGAACATTTATCCTGATATGGTATGTGATCAGTACCTCAATATATTAAGCACGTAAGTGTATATATATAATCAGGTATTTATATTATATACAAGTTTCAATAATGTCTTCATATGAGCAATTTTATGAGGTCATCATTAAAATTCTGGATATACATATATTCTTAAAAAAATAGAAAATCCAAGAAGTGAATCAAAATTGCTTTATGAGAAAGCTATAAAATTAGCTGTGTATTTGGATAGCTGCCTTATTCTCCTTGAATAGCAAAGAGAACTTGCTCTCCTAGAGTAAATATTTTTAAATGTTCTATATTGTACTAATTTACAAATGAAAAGTAAACTAAAATGTCAGAAATGTTTTCAAGTTTGTGAGTATGATTATATATTATTTTGTAAAATTGAAATAAATAAAGGGACTTTCAAAGCTTGGTTTTATCATTCAGATTTGAGTTTCTGTGTAACATTTTCTGAGGAAAAGAAAATAAATATTTATAGTCTATAAAAATATGTCTACAATGCTTATGAAATATTTATAATAAATGTAATTTATAATCTGAATTCCTTTTATCATTAGTATATAAAGATGAAAAAAATATCAACTCAGTGGGTTGGAAATATTGATAAAATATAAAGTCTGTCTTCATTTACCACAGGCTTCTCTTTTCCAACCTTTCTTTGACAAGATATGTCACCTTGACAAGCCAGTTACCATAAATGACTTACAACTCCCTGAACCCTGTATTTAATATAGTCAGGACCCCACACTTCAAATTGTCATACACCATTATTATGTTTCAGGATGTCAGTCTGTTATCTGAAGGATAGTTCCTCCCCATGTGTAAATTCTTCTGGTATTTGTCTTTTGGTGTCAGCATCAAAAGATGTGATCTTTGATCACTAATCTAATACTTTATGGAGCTGTAAACAGACAATAAAGCAAGAATTTTGTTATGATTGATAGATTGTTTTGTGAATTTGGGATTAAGGCAATGACTTCAGTGATTGCTCATGTCTTACATCATTTAGGTTCAAACAGAAACTTTCATGCTTGCAGAATGTAAACAAAAACACTTTAAAAAATCTTTTTATGTCATGCAGTTTTTAAATGTAATTGTTAATGCAGTTATTCTCCAAATGCAGATTAAAATTTGAGTCTTTTTTACATCTGTGTGTGATAAACAGTACAATTTCAAATGATACACATATATAAAGAATGGTCAGGACGGTATGAATGAAGATGGCAGAATAGAAGGCTCCATCAATTATCCCCACAAGGATAACAGTTTAACAACTATCTTCAGACAAAAAGCACATTTATAAGAATCAAAAATCAGATGAGCCCTCATGGCACCTGGTTGTAATTTCATATAGCTGAAAGAGGGCACTGAAGAGGTAGGAAAAACAGTCTTGAATGGCAAATGCCACCCCTCTTATATTCCCCAGCAGCAGCTGAGTGGTGCAGGGAGTGTTCCTGTGCTCTGGGGAGAGTGAGGGAACAGCAACTGTGAGGCACTACCTCAGTGCTGCCCTGTTATAGCAGAAAGAAAAACTGGAACAAATTCAGCTGATGCCTGCCCACAGAGGTAACATTTAAAACAGGCTTAGCCAGAGGGAAATCCTCAATCCCAGCAGTCAGACTTGAGTTCCTGCAAGCCTTGCTATTGTGGGCTAAAGAGCTCTGAGGAACCAAATAAACTTGAAAGACAACTAGGACAAAAAGACTGCAAATCCTAGAATCCTGGTGCTGAACTGGGCCCTGAGTCAGGGGAATGGGGGAAAATGTGATTTGCTAGAACACCATCCTTGGCAGCTAAAGCAGTGCTGGCATCACTCCTTCCCTAACCCCAGACTGCACAGCTCAGCACTCCAAAAGAGTTTCCTTCCTTCCATTTGAGGACAGGAGAAAGAAGAGTGGGGAGGACTTTGTCTTACATCTTGTATACTAGCTCACCTATAACAGAATAGGGTACTGGTCAGAGTAGGTAGACCCTCTTTTCAGGCCCTTTCTCTGGGATAACATTTATAGACACATTGTGGACCAGAAGAGAACCTTCTGCTTTAAAGGAAAGAACCCAGTCCTGACAACCTTCATCACCTACTAACTAAAAAAACCCTACCCTGGAGAAACTAGCAGTGACACCCATGTACTATGTTGAAGGCCTTAGGTCAGACTCAGACTTATTGGCTTCAGGTGAGAATCAGCACATTTTTTGCTGTGGTAGTTATGTGGAGAGATTCATTCTGCTTTAGAAAAGTGGGAGGAAAAGTAAAAGGGACTTTGCCTTACACTTTAGGTACCAAGTTGGCCACAGTGGGGTAGAGAACCAAGTAAGTTCTTGGGGTCATTGATTCCAGGAATTGACTCTTGAATGGCATTTCTGGACCTGCCCTGAGTCAGAGGGGAGTTCGCTGTCCTGAAGGGAGAGTCCCAGGCCAGTCAGCTTTCACCACAGGTTGACTGAAGTGTCCCTGGGATTAAAGGGAACATCAGTGATAGTCTGGCAGTACTTCCCATGGGTCTGTGGTGATGGTTGCCACAGGGTGGGTCTCCTCTGCCTTTGTAAAGAGGAAGAAAAAGTGAAAAGGACTGCATCTTGTGGTTTGAGTACCAGCTGAGCTGCAGTACATTAGAACACCAGGTAGACTTCTAAGGTTTTTAACTAATCCCTGGTCCCCTGATGGCAGCTCTTGACCCACTCAGGGCCTGAGAGAGCTCATTGCCCCAAAAGGAAGAACAAAGGTCTGGCTGGCTTTATCACCTAATTAATGAGTATAGAACTCTAGGGCCTTGAGCAAACACAGGTGAAAGCCAGGGAGTGGTTACAGCAGGTATTTGGTGAGACCCACTGCTGTGCTAACATCATGGTAAACCCAGGGCAGTCATAGCGATGTTGGCCACTGGAATGCTCCAGATGGCTCAGAGCAGAGAGAGAGAGATTCTCTATTGATTTGGAACAAAGTAAGGGAAGAGAACAAGAGACTCCGCCTGGTGATCCAGATCTTGTTCAAAACCTTCAAGGCAGTACCCCAAGTTTGCAAGAAGCCTTCCCAAGAAGACAGGTACAAATAAGCCCAGACTCTGAAGTCCACAACAAATATCTAACTTTTCAATGCCCAGACACAGAAAAATGTCCACAATAGCAAGATCATTTAGGAATACATGAACTCACTAAATGAAATCAATAAGGCAAGAGGGACCAATTCTGTAGAAAAAGAGATATGTGATCTTTTCGACACAGAATTCAAAATAGCTGTGTTGAGGAAACTAAAATAAATTCAACATAATAAAGAGAAAGAATTCAGTATTCTACCAGATAAATTTAACAAAGAGATTTAAGTAATTAAAAAGAATCAAGCCGAAATTTTGGAACTGAAAAATGCAATTGACATCTTGAGGAATGAAGCAGAGTCCTTTAATAGCAGAATTGATAAAGCAGAAGAAAGGATTAGTGAGCTTGAAGACAGGCTATTTGAACATGCAGTTAGAGGAGACAAAAGAAAAAGAATAAAAAATAGTCCAGGCACAGTGGCTCAAGCCTGTAATCCCAGCACTTTGGGAGGCTAAGGCAGGTGGATCACTAAGTCAGGAGATCGAGACCATCCTGGCTAACACGGTGAAACCCTCTCTCTACTAAAAATACAAAAAAATTAGCTGGCCATGGTGGGGGGCACCTGTAGTCCCAGCTATTCAGGAGGCTGAGGCAGGAGAATAGCGTGAACCCGGGGTACGGAGCTTGCAGTGAGCCAAGATCACACCACTGCACTCCAGCCTGGGCAACAGAGCAAGACTCTGTCTCAAAAAAAAAAAAAAATGAAACTTATCTATAGGATCTAGAAAATAGATTCAAATGGCAAATCTAAGAGTCATTGGCCTTGAAGAGGAGACAGAGAAAAAGACAGGGGTAGAAAGTTTACTCAAAGGGTAATAACAGACAACTTGCCAAACCTAGAGAAAAATATCAATATCCTAATAAAAAAGGTTATAGAACACCAAGCAGATTTAATCCAAAGACTACCTCAAGGCTTTTAATAATCAAATTCCCAAAGGTCAAGGATAAAGAAAGGACCCTAAAAGCAGCAGGAGAAAAGAAACAAATAATATAAAATAGAGCTCCAATACATCTTTCAGCAGACTTTTTAGTGAAAATCTTACAGGCCAGGATAGAGTGGCATGATGTATTACAGTGCTAAAGGAAATAAGCTTTTACCCTAGAATGGAATATCTGAGAAAAATATCCTTCAACCACAAAGGAAAATGAAGATTTTCCAAGACAAATGAAAGCTGAGGAATTTCATCCACACCACAGCTGTCCAATTAGAAATGCTAAGGATAGTACTTCAGTCAGAAATAAAAGGATGTCAAAGAGCAAGAAGATGTAATCTGAAGGTAGAAAACTCACTGGTAATAGCAAGTAGACAGAATAACAGAAAATGTTACAATACTGTAACTATTGTGTTTAATTACTATTATCTTAAGAAGAAATTCTAAACAATAAGCAAATTTAAAAAACTTTTAAAGACATAGCAATTAAGATATAAATAGAGGGAGCAAACATTTAACAAGTGGGAAAATGAAGTTAAGGTGTAGAGCTTTTATTTATTTTTTTGGCTGGTTGTTTGTGCAAACAGTGCTTTATCAGCTTAAAGTCATAGTTTACAGGATAGAATTTTCAAGCCTCATAGAAAGTTCCAGCAAAACACATACAAGGAGACACAAAAAGCATATAAAAAGAAACTACATTGTATCACCAGAGAAAATAACTGTCCCTAAAATGAAGGCAAGAAAGGAAAGGAAAGAAAGGAAGGAAGGAAGGAAGGAAGGAAAGAAGGAAGGAAGGAAGGAAGGAAGGAAGGAAGGAAGGAAGGAAGGAAGGAAGGAAGGAAGGGAAAGAAAAGAGAAAGAAAGAAAGAGACAGAGAGAGAAAAAAAAAAATAAAGGCAGGCTGGCCAAAAACCAAGCAGAAAAAAATAACAAAATGGCAAAAGTAAGTCCTTATTTATCAATAATAACATTGAATATAAATGAACTAAACACTTCAATAAAAATACATAGACTTGCTGTCTAGATAAGAAAAATAACATCCAAGGTTCTGTGGTTAAGAAACAGTCTTCCCATGTAAAGACATATATAGACTGAAAATAAAGGGATAGACAAAGGTGTTTCATGCCAGTTGAAATTAAAACAGAACAGGAGTCACCATACTTATATTAGACAAAATAGATTTTAAGATAAAAGCTATAAGAAAAAACAGAAAAGGCCACTATATGATGCAAAAGGAGTCAATTCTGCAAGAGAATATAATAATGTTTAATATATATTCAACCAACATGTGAGCATCCAGATATATAAAGCAAATATTGTTAGAGCTAAAGAGAGTGATTGACCCTAATACAACAACACCTAGAGACTTTAACATCCCATTTTCAGTATTGAACAGACCTTCCAGGCAGAAAATCAACAAACATTGGACTTAATCTGCACTATCAATCAAAGGAACCTAATAGATATTTACAGAACATTTCACCCAATGGCCGCACAATACACATTCTTGTCCTCAGCCCATGGATCATTCTCAAGAATAGACCATATGTTATGTCACAAAACAAACCTTAAAACAATAAAAAAAAACAAGATAATAAGCATCTTCTCTGAACAGAATGGAATAAGACTAGTAATCAACAAGAGGAATTTTTTAAAATATACAAACACATGGAAAATAAACAATTTGCTCTAAAATAGCCAGCAGGTCAATAAAGAAATTAATCAGAAAATTGAAAAATTTCTTGAAACCCAGGGTAAAGGAAACACAGCATATCAAAACCTATGAAACACAGCAAAAGCAGCACTAAAAGGAAAGTTTATAGTGATAAAAAAATTAAAACTACATAAAAATAGAAGAAAACCTTTGAATCAACAACTTAACCACGCATCTTGAAGAACTAGACAAGCAAGAGCAAAGGCAACCTACAATTAGTAGAATACAACAAAAATAAAGAACAGAGGAACAGAAATAAATGAAATTGAAATGAAGAAAACAATACAAAATATCAATATAACAGAAAGTTGTTTTTTTGCAAAGTTGAACAAAGTTGACAAACCTTTAGCCAAACTAAGGAAAATAGAAAGAAGATCAAGATAAAAAAATCTAGAGACAAAAATGAGACAGTACAACAGATACTGCAGAAACTCAAAGGATTATTAGTGAATACCTTGAGTAACTACATGCCAGATAAATGGAAAATCTAGAAGTGGACAAATTCCTAGACACATACAGCCTACAAAAACTGAAGAAGGGAGAAATTCAAAACCTGAACAAACCAATAACAAGTAGCAATATTGAAGCCATAATAAAAATTCTCCCAGTAAAGAAATGCCTGGAACATGAACAGTTTTACTACTGAATACGACCAATTAAAGAAGAACTAATAACAAGCCTAGTTATACTTTTCTAAAAAATCAAGGAGGAGGGAATACTTTCAAATTCATTACTCAAAGTAAGAATTACTCTGAAACCAAAACTAGACAAAGGCACATTAAAAAAAAAGAAAGAAAGAAGAAGAAAACTACAGGCCAGTATCCCTGATGAATATTGATGCAATTATCCACACCAAAATATTAGCAAATAAAATTCAACAATACATCAAAACTACCATTTGTCATAAACAAGTGAAACTTTTCTCTGCAATGCAAGATGGTTTAAAATATACAAATGAATCAATTTGATACATTATGCCAACAGAATGAGAAACAAAAACTATATGATCATTTCAATTGATGCTGAAAATGCTTTTAGAAAAATTTAACATCTCTTTATGATAAAATCCCTCAAAAATCGGGGTATTGAAGGAACATACCTCAACATAATAAAAGTCACATACTAAATACCCACAACTGGTATCATACGTAACAGAACAAAACTGAAACACATTCCTCAAAGATATGTAACACAAAAAAAGATACCTACTTTCACCGCTGTTGTTAAACATAGTACTGGAAGTCCTAGCTAGAGAAATGAGAGAAGTTAAAGAAATAAAGGGCATCTAATTTATAAAGGAAGACAAATTATCCTTTTTTGCAGATAATGTTATCATACATGGAAAAACATAAAGACTTCACAAGAAAACTATGAGAATTGATAAACAAATTAATAAAGTTGGAGAATATAAAATCATTGTAGAAAAATCAGTAGCCTTTCTACATGCCAACAAGAAACAATGGGGAAAAGAATTTTAAAAGTAATCTAATTCACAATAGCCACACATAATATTAAATACCTAGAAAAACAAATCTGTATTAGTAAGGGTTCTCTAGAGGGACAGAACTAATAGGAAAGACATACATATGAATGGCAGTTTATTAAGGAGTATTGACTCACATGATCAAAAGGTGAAGTCCCACAATAAGCTGTCTGTAAGCCAAGGAGCAGGGAAGCCAATCCAAGTCCCAAAACCTCAAAAGTAGGAAAGCCAATAGTACAGCCTTCAGTCTGTTGCCAAAGGCCAAATAACTCTTGGTGAACCACTGGTGTAAATCCAAGAGTCCAAAAGCTAAAGAATTTGGGGCCTTATGTTAGAGGGCAGGAAGCATCCAGCACAGGGTAAAGATGAAAGCTAGAAGACTCAGTAAGTCTGCTCATTCCATTTTCTTCTCCCTGCTTTACTCTAACTATGCTGGCAGCTGATTAGATGGTGCCCACCCAGATATGGAATGGGTCTGCCTCCCCAAGTCCACTGACATAAATGTTAATCTCCTTTACAAACACCCTTACAGACAGACCCAGGAACAATACTGCACGAAGCATCTAAAGGCACTGTAGTGCTTCAGCTGTCCACTTTAGGGTGGTGCCTGCAAATCATGCAGAACCATCTATAAACCTGGTCCTAGTCTTCTCTTCTTCTGTCATCTGATCACAGGGAATTCCTCATGAGGCCATTGGTGTAGGCTGGAGGAGAGAAGGCAGGGTGGCAGGAATGGAGACCATGGGCATTTGAGTCCCTCATGTAACTTACTTGTGCCTTCAAGACTTGCTTGAGCCCAACCACGTATATATCACTTCCATTTGATGATGATATCAGTCTACAAACACACCATTTTATGGTCAGAAGGGTCAGAAAGCACCCCAGCTCATGATAGTTCAAGTCACATGGTGACTTAATGACCTATAGTCAAAAACATTCAGTTTCCATTGAAGCCCAGTAACAGACCAAGAGCTGTCTCTCAAAAGAAGAGCAGTTATCTGCAGAAGATTCCAGGGCTTCGATCCAAAATCCTAGAGTCCTCCATGGTCCTTTACCTATGGGGGCCTGCCAAAGGCTCCAAAGAGTATTGCTATATGCCATTGACACCTCAAGCACCATTGAATCATCTGCTGGGTCATGGGGCCCAAGCGGCAGAGCGTTCTCCTGTTCTGGACCCTATTCAAAACTGGCAGCCTTTCAAGTTCCTTGATAAATGGGTGAGAGTAACACACCCAAATGAGAAATGTGTTGCCTCCAAAGTCCAAATAGACCCAGTAGGCATTGTTCCTCTTTCTTGGGTGTAGGAGGGGGCAAATGCAGCAACTTATCCTTCACCTGTGATACGGTGTGGCTGTGTCCCCACCAAAGTCTTATCTTGAATTGTAACTCCAATGATTCCCACATGCCATGGGAAGAACCCTGTGAGAAGTGATTGAATTATGGAGGTGGGTCTTTCCTGTGCAGTTCTTGTGATAATGAATGAGTCTCATGAGATCTGGTGATTTTAAAAATGGGAGTTTCCATGCACAAGCTCTCTTTTCTCTTTGCCTGCCACCATCCATGGAAGATGTGACTTGCTCCTCCTCACCCTTCACCTTCCACCATGATTGTGAGGCCTCCCCACCTATGTGGAACTGTTAGTCCAATAAACCTCTTTCTTTTGTAAATTGCCCAGTCTCAGGTATGTCTTTATCAGCAGCATGAAAATGGACTAGTACAGTAAATTGGTACCAGTAGAGTTGGGTGCTGCCTAAATGATACCCATAATGTGGTAATGACTTTAGTACTGGGTAACAGGCAGAGGTTGGAACAGTTTGGGGGCTCGGAAGAAGACAGGAAAATGTGGGAAAGTTTGGAACTCACTGGAGACTTGTTGAATGTTTTTGACCAAAATGCTGATAACAATATGGACAATGAAATCCAGACTGAGATGGTCTCAGAGAGGAGGATTTCTTGAGAATTGGAGCAAAGGTGACTCTTCTTATGTTTCAGCAAAGGTACTGGTAGCATTTTGCCCCTGCCCTGGCGATTTGTGGAACTTTGAACTTGAGAGAGACGACTTAGGGTATCTGGCCGAAGAAATTTCTAAGATGCCAGGAATTCAAGAGGTGACCAGGGTACTGTTAAAGGCATTCAGTTTTAAAAGGGAAACAGTATAAACCTTTGGAAAATTTGCAGCCTGACAATGCTATAGAAAAAAAACCTGTTTTTTTTTTTTGGAAGAGAAATTCAAGCCTGCTGCAGAAATTTGCATAAGTAACTAGGAGCCAAATGTTAATCACAAAAACAATGCAGAAAATGTCTCTAGGGCATGTCAGAGACCTTTGTGGCAGTCTCTCCTATCAGAGGTCTGGAGGTTTAGGAGAAAAAATGATTTTGTGGACTGGGCCCAATGTCCCTCTGCTGTGTGCAGTCTAAGAACTTGGTGTCCTATGGCCCAGCTGCTCCAGCTGTGACTAAAAGGGACAAAGGTACAGCTTGAGCTGTCACTTCAGAGGGTGGAAGCCCCAAGCCTAGGCAGCTTCCACATGGTGTTGAGCCTGAGGGTGCACAGGAGTCAAGAATTGGGGTTTGGGAACCTCCACCTAGATTTCAGAGGATGTATGGAAATGCCTGGATGTCCAGGCAGAAGTTTGCTTCTAATATGTCTAATGAGTCTAATGAATGTATCTAATGAGATCTGATGGTTTTAAAATGGGAGTTTCCCTGCACAAGCTCCCTTTTCTCTCTTTGCCTGCCACCATCCATGTAAGATGTGACATGCTCCTCCTTGCCTTTCACCTTCTGCCATGATTGTGAAGCCTCCCCAGCCATGTGGAATTGTAAATCCAATAAAACTCTTCCTTTTGTAAATTGCCCCATCTTGTGTATGTCTTTATGAACAGAATGAAAATGGACTAATACACCTTAGAAGTAACGTTGTGACAGGCCCCAAATCACTGGACCCCTAGAAGTTCTACTGAGGTAGAAGGTCCCTGAATTTAGTTATGTTTATTTACCATTCCATGGCATGCAAATGTCTCACCAATAAGTCCAGTGTGTTTGCTACTTCTCACTCACTAAATCAAATCAACATAATGTTACCAGTGTAATGGACCAGCATGATAACCTGTGGAAGGGAAAGTGATCAAGATCTCTGTGAACAAGATTGTGACACAAAGCTGAAGAATTGATATACTCCTGAGGTAGGACCGTGAAGGTATATTGCTGGCCTTGCCAGCTGAAGGCAGGTCACTTCTGATGGGCCTTAGTAAGAGGAATGGAGAAAAAGGCATTTGCCAAATCAAGACTGCATACCAGGAACCAGGAGATGTGTTAATTTGTTAAGGAATAAAACCATATCTTGTGTAGCAGCTGTAATGATTGTAACCACTTGGTTAAGTTTACAATAATTCACTGTCATTCTCCAAGATCCATCTGTCTTCTGCACAAGATAAATAGGAGAGTTTAATGGTTATGTGGTGGGAATCACCACCCCTGCATCTTTCAAGTCCTCAATGGTGGCACTAATCTCTTTAATCCCTCCAAGGATGCAATATTGTTTTTGACTTACTATTTTTTAGGTAAAAAAAGCTCTAATGGCTTCCATTTGGCCTGTCTCACCATAATAGCCTTCACTCTACTAGTCAGGGAGCCAATGTAGGGATCTGCCAGCTACTAAGTATGTCTAAGCCAAATTATGCATCTGGCACTAGAGAAATGTCCACAGGATGAGTCTGTGGACCCACCTGACCCACTGTAAGTTAAAGCTGAGCTGAAACTCCATCAATTATCTGACCTCTATAAGCCCCTACTTTAACTGGAGGACCACAAAGATGTTTTGGGCTCCCTGGAATCAGCATCAGCTCAGAGCCAGTGTCCAGTAGTCCCTGAAAGGTCTGATCATTCTCCTTCCCCCAATGCACAGTTACCCTGGAAAAAGGCTGGAGGTCTCTTGTTGAAAGGATAGGAGAAAGATTAACAGCATAAATTGTGAGTAGTGTAGTGGAGTCCTTAGCCTATCAATTTCACTTCCAGGAACACCATGACTAATTAACAAATCCCAGGACTCTACACAGGTCAGACTATTATGATTTCTGCTTTGCTTATGCTGTCCATTACAGGAGTTATGCCCACCTTGACTTTGATGGTTGAGTGCTGCCACTTGACCCTGCCACCTCAGGAACCAATTATTCATATTGTATTTAAATTTACTAATTGAGTGACTATGGTTCCCACTGTAAGAGCTAACATACAAAGAAGAGGAATCACACAGCTATTCAAGAATGCAGGGGCTCCCCTCACAAATCTATTTTACAAACTATTGGTGAAGGGGATGTCCTCTGGAGCCTTGCAGCTGCGATGAGTAGGTCTAATGTGACTAATCTACTTTAGCATTCCAATCTCCCTAAGGCTTTGGCTCCCTTCCTCTATATTAAACCAAGGGAGATTAGACATTTCCAGCTCTCTCACAGTGGGCCATCTTTTGATCCATATTTCAGCTAACCAAGTAAATAAGCTATTGGAACCTTTTTTAATTCCCCAAACTGCAACATTAAATGCAGAATCCCCACTTAGTTGCCTCATATCAATAAATTCAGCTTGATTTAAATTTATGTTCCTTCAACCATTATCCCATAATTTTAATATCCATTCCCATGCCTGTTCTCCAGGCTTCTGCTTATATAAATTAGAAAACTCAAGCAGTACTTTTGGAGTGTAGCACAGTTCCTCATGGATCACACTCTGAATCTCACTTCTAGGGGCCTGCCAGGACTTAAGTCTAGTTATAGGTCTAGAAGCCAACAGGGGTGTTGGGGGTAGGTCCTAAAGAGAATCAGCATTGTCTTGCCGGGAAACTGCCTCAGGGGAGGCCATCACTGTTGCCTTAGGCAGCACAGGGTTTTTCACCTCAGACAAAGGCAGAAAGGCTGATGGCAGCATGGGTGAGGAAGGGAACATTGCCACCACTGGCAGTGGAGAGGCTGTTTCCTCTGGCAAATAAGGCTCATCAGACTTTACAAGCTCAGTGCTCCCAGCTTCATCAGGGCTCCCCCACACATCGCCAGTACAAGTTGCAGAGTCCCATTTTTTTCCTATCAATGCCGTCACTTTAACAGAATATACCTGGCAAGAATGAGTGTGCACCTTTCCTAGCAGGTCAACCCCTGGCATGATAAGAGCTTGTGTCTGATTTCCACAATTTCAGCCCTTTGTCTGCAGAAGCTAAGTTATATTTGCCTCTCACTCGAGGCAATCTTAGAAGACTTGAGGCTGTGTTTGTGCCTCTGGAGCCAGGAATTACAATCCTTAAGCTCATCCTTTTATTTCATTACTTTGTCTAGTGAACTTAGGAGCAACCAACCGAATTCATTATATTCTTTGGTTCTCCACATATGGTCAAAGGTATTATACATAGAGTCATTAAACTCCTTGCCACTCATGAGTGGTGAATCAGGAGTACTGAATGCATTTATTTTGCGTAACTGTCTACACCGCCAAGGACTATGAGTGTTCTACATGCTATTAAAAGTAGAGTCCTTAGCATTTTTGGGTCTAATTATATTAAGCTGCCAACTCCAAAACCCAAAACTAACGAAATTTATCCTTAAAATTCTGTTCCTCTAGAACCACTCCCAGTACCAAAATCTGTACTATTCAGGCTTCTCAAAAGGGACCGAACTAATAGAATAGATGTATATATATGAAGGGTAGTATATTAAGGAGCATTGACTCACACAGTCACAAGAAGAATTTCCACAGTAGGCCATCTGCAAGCTGAGGAGTAAGGAAACCAGTCCGAGTTCCAAAATTTCAAAAGTAGAAAAGCTGACAGAGCAGGATTCAGTCTGTGGCCAAAGGCCCCAGAGCCCCTTGCCAACCACTAGTGTAAGTCCAACAGCCTAAAAGCTAAGAACTTGGGGTCTGATGTTTGAGGGAAGAAAGCATTCAGCACAAAAGAAAGATGGCCAGAAGACTCAGCAAGTCTGCTCATTCTACTTTCTTCCACCTGCTTTATTCTAGCTATGCTGGCAGCTGATTCTCTAGATGGTGCCCACCCAGATTCAGGGTGGGTCTGCCTCTCCCAGTCCATTGTTGACTTAAACATTAATCTCCTTTGGCAACTCCCTCTCAGACACACCCAGGAACAATAATTTGCATCCTTCAATCCAATCAATTTAACACTCAATATTAACCATCAGTGTGAAAGATCTCTATAATGAAAACTATAAAATGCTGATGAAATAAATTGAAGAAGACACCAGAAAATGGAAACGCATTTTATGCACATGGATTGGAAGAACCAATATTGTTAAAATGCCCATACAACGCAAAGCAATCTATAGATCTAATGTAATCCCTATCTAAGTACAAATGGCATTCTTTACAGAAATAGGAAAAAAAAAACTAATTTATATGCAACCACAAAAGACCCAGAACAGGCAAAGCTATCCTAAGTAAAAGAACAAAACTGGAAGAATCACATTCTCTGACTTCAAATTATACTACAGAGCTATAGTAACCAAAACAGCATGGTACTGGCATAAAAACAAAAACATAGGCTAATAGAACAGAACAGAGAACCCAGAAATGAATCCACAAACCTATAGTGGACTCACTTTTGATACTTCTTCCCTACTGTAGAGAAAAGACAGTCTCTTCAATAAATAGTGATGGGAAAACTTTATATCCATATGCAGAAGAATGAAACTAGACACCTATCTCTCACCATATACAATAATCAAATCAAAATATATTGAAGAATTAAATCTAGGACCTCAAAATGTGAAACTACTACAAGAAAACTTTGGGGAAAATCTCCAGGACATTGGCCTGGGCAAAAATTATTTGAGTAATACCACACAAAGCACAGGCAACAAAAGCAAAAATGGGCAAATGGGATCACATCAAGTTAAAAAGCTTCTGCACAGCCAGGGAAACAATGAACAAAGTGCAGAGCCACAGAATGGGAGAAAATATTTACAAACTAGTTATCTGACAAAGATTGATAATGAGAATGTATAAGGAGCTCAAACAACTCTAAAGGAAAAAATCTGATAAACGGATTTTAAAAATGGACAAAATATTTAAATAGACATTTCTCAAAATAGACATAAAAACACTAAACGAGCATTTTAGAAGGTGCTCAACTTCACTGATAATCAAAGAAATGCAACTCAAAACCACAATGAGATATCTTACACCAATTAAAATGGTTTATATTCAATGATAGGCAATAACAAAGGCTGGTGAGGATGTAGAGAAAAGGGCATACTGGTACGTTGTTGGTGAAAATGTAAATTAATATACTCACTATGGAGAACAGTCATTAGCCCGCCACCGCGCCCGGCTAATTTTTTGTATTTTTAGTAGAGACGGGGTTTCACCTTGTTAGCCAGGATGGTCTCGATCTCCTGACCTCATGATCCACCCGCCTCAGCCTCCCAAAGTGCTGGGATTACAGGCGTGAGCCACCGAGCCCAGCCAATCACAAGCATTCTTATACACCAACAACAGACAAACAGAGAGCCAAATCATGAGTGAACTCCCATTCACAATTGCTCCGAAGAGAATAAAATACCTAGGAATCCAACTTACAAGGGACATGAAGGACCTCTTCAAGGAGAACTACAAACCACTGCTCAATGAAATAAAAGAGGATACAAACAAATGGAAGAACATTCCATGCTCATGGGTAGGAAGAATCAATATCGTCAAAATGGCCATACTGCCCAAGGTAATTTACAGATTCAATGCCATCCCCATCAAGCTACCAATGCCTTTCTTCACAGAATTGGAAAAAACTACTTTAAAGTTCATATGGAACCAAAAAAGAGCCCACGTCACCAAGTCAATCCTAAGCCAAAAGAACAAAGCTGGAGGCATCATGCTACCTGACTTCAAACTATACTACAAGGCTACAGTAACCAAAACAGCATGGTACTGGTACCAAAACAGACATATAGATCAATGGAACAGAACAGAGCCCTCAGAAATAATGCCGCATATCTACAACTATCTGATCTTTGAGAAACCTGAGAAAAACAAGCAATGGGGAAAGGATTCCCCATTTAATAAATAGTGCTGAGAAAACTGGCTACCCATATGTAGAAAGCTGAAACTGGATCCCTTCCTTACACCTTATACAAAAATTAATTCAAGATGGATTAAGGACTTACATGTTAGACCTAAAACCACAAAGACCCTAGAAGAAAACCCAGGCAATACCATTCAGGACATAGGCTTGGGCAAGGACTTCATGTCTAAAACACCAAAAGCAATGGCAACAAAAGCCAAAACTGACAAATGGGATCTAATTAAACTAAAGAGCTTCTGCACAGCAAAAGAAACTACCATCAGAGTGAACAGGTAACCTATAAAATAGGAGAAAATTTTCGCAACCTACTCATCTGAAAAAGGGCTAATATCCAGAATCTACAATGAACTCAAACAAATTTACAAGAAAAAAACAAACAACCCCATCAAAAAGTGGGCAAAGGATATGAACATATACTTCTCAAAAGAAGGCATTTATGCAGCCAAAAAACACATGAAAAAATGCTCACCATCACTGGCCATCAGAGAAATACAAATTAAAATCACAATGAGATACCATCTCACACCAGTTAGAATGGCAATCATTAAAAAGTCAGGAAACAACAGGTGCTGGAGAGGATGTGGAGAAATAGGAACACTTTTACACTGTTGGTGGGACTGTAAACTAGTTCAACCATTGTGGAAGTCAGTGTGGTGATTCCTCAGGGATCTAGAACTAGAAATACCATTTGACCCAGCCATCCCATTACTGGGTATATACCTAAAGGACTTTTAATCATGCTGCTATATGTCTTTATAGACACGTGCACACATATGTTTATTGCAGCACTATTCACAATAGCAAAGACTTGGAACCAACCCAAATGTCCAACGATGATAGACTGGATTAAGAAAATGTGGCCCATATACACCATGGAATACTATGCAGCCATAAAAATGATGAGTTCATGTCCTTTGTAGGGACATGGATGAAATTGGAAATGATCATTCTCAGTAAACTATCGCAAGGACAAAAAACCAAACACCGCATGTTCTCACTCATAGGTGGGAATTGAACAATGAGAACACATGGACACAGGAAGGGGAACATCACACTCTGGGGACTGTTGTTAAGTGGTGGGATGGGGGAGGGATAGCATCAGGAGAAATACCTAATGCTAAGTGATGAGTTAATGGGTGCAGCACACCAGCATGGCACATATATACATATGTAACTAACCTGCATATTGTGCACATGTACCCTAAAACTTAAAGTATAATAATAATAAAAAAATAGAATGTCTATTGTGTACATAAATAAGAAAGAAAAAGTGTATATCTATGTCTGTCTGTTTAGTTTATTTGTTTGCTTCTGAGACATGTCAGAATTTTCTCTTTCCATATGACAGGGAACATGTCTTCCTCATGTATTTACATATAAGGAAGGGACTTTTTACTCCATTTTAGGAAAGGACAGCAGAAGAGAAATATTCCAGCATCTCCAAGGCTCCTATTTTTCCTAGAAAAAGGAGTGATTTTTCTGATTATTACATTTGGGAGAGAAAAAATAATATGATGATTCTGCTTTTGGGAGTGCTCTCTTTGGATTCAGTCTATCTACAAAACTCTGTGTGATCTGCTGGTGACAGTCAGTTGTCCGGCACCACCTGTGGCATGGTAGGACTCTCGTCTGGAGTTCACACATATTTGGCTGCATGTCCATTCTACCTTTGCCAGTTTAGTCTTACCAGTAATAAAGCTAAATTTTGAGTCTAGCTCCAAAGTAATTCCAAATGTGAGCCATTTTTTATCTGTCTCTAATCTCAGTGTAGATGATGGCAAAACAAGACAGCAATTCTATCAATTAAATCTCTTCTTTGAAATTGAAATAACATATGAAGCAAATTTGACTTATTCAATTCTTCACTTTTGATCTCACATAATTCTGTTTATATAATCATTTTATATACATTACATTACTGTATTGTATACATTTTATATAATCATTTTAAATACATTACATTACTGTATTGTATACATTTTGTCTATTTCTTCTTTGATTTTGTTTTTGTTTTTATAATTATTTCAGGTGTGGGGAAAAATTCTGTCCCTGATACTACATCTTGTCCAGAACTGGAAGAGCTCATTATTTCTTTATTTGTACTGTTTTTATCTATTCATCCATAGTGTTCTCAACAGAGCTATCAAAAGTATTATCAAAAAACTTTTGATAATATTTACCAAATATCCAAACACATTCGATAATTTATTCATTAAATTTAATTTTCTAGAAATCTCCTTCATTCTCCTGATTCAATCTGGTCTGGTCCTTTTCCAGGCCTGTTTTATGACATTCTTTCTGAAATTTTTATCTCTGCCCTCTTACGTAAAACTTTTATTTGCTGAATACTATAACATCCTAACTGTAGGTTAACTTTCTTGTTTATTTTTTTCTTTTTTTTCTGAATCACAGTTTGTCTCATATATGAAAAGTAGTTTTAGGAGGTCTTTAATATCTAAAAGAATTACTGCTTCATCTATAGTGTTCTAAGAACAAATCACCCTTTCATAATTTTGGAGCATTGTTCTGTTTTCTTTTTTTTTTTCTTTTTCTTTTTTCTTATTTTGCCACAGATGGGTAAGAATTTTATTCCATTCATGACTCTCAAGTACAAGGAGCTTCAAGTTATTTTTCATCTAAGAGTTTCATAGTTTTAGCTCTTACATTTATGTCTTTAATCTATTTATAGTTAAATTTTGTATGATAATAAGGTAAGGGTCCAACTTCATTATTTTGCATATGAATATCTAGTTTTCCCAACATGATTTGTTTTTTTGTTTTTTGTTTTTAATTATACATTAAGTTTTAGGGTACATGTGCACAACGTGCAGGTTAGTTACATATGTATACATGTGCCATGTTGGTGTGCTGCACCCATTAACTCCTCATTTAACATTAGGTATATCTCCTAATGCTATCCCTCCCCCCTCCACCCACCCCACAACAGGCCCCGGTGTGTGATGTTCTGAGAAATCTAACAATTTACCATCACCTGATTAATTATATATAATTTGATTTAGTTTCTATGTATAAATGCCCTCCTCACTGTTTACTTTATAACTTTTTTTCTATTTTCATGATATTGTATATTGTTTTCTTTTTGTGTATCTGAAATTCAAACTTCACTGGGCCTCCTGTATTTTTATTTGTTAAATCAGGCAACACTATGCTAGTGTGGCTATACTGTCACTCAGATTCAATCTCTTCAGGTAGTAAAAAACTTCCTTTAATCTCCCATGTAATATGTAAATTGGCGCATGGAAAAATGACTTGCAGAGAGTGGAAGAGAATCAACAGGCAGATGAGATAATCTCTATGCTGCACGCTCCTAACTTTGGTGTACAAAATTTTCACCTAATCACCTAATATTTAAACTCTTTGTTTATCCCTGCTTCCTATGATAAGTGGTGCTTCAAAATCCTGTAAATATAGTGTTCTACAATTCAAGTTAATGTTCAATATCCCCCTATAGCTATGATCCCCGTTTTACTGTCATTTATCACTCATTCTTTCATCTTCTACATCTTTCCAAAAGTTGTTGAAATTTATTTCCCTTTTCTTTAGGCTCTTATTTTAGTTCTAAGGGTTTCTACCACTTTATTATCACTTAACTAGGAGTTTGGAAGGGATATATGTTAAACAGATGATAAATCTATAGGTTTTATCAGAAGTTGAATAAATGGGATTAGACATGAACTGGTTATAGATAAAATAAGTAGAAGAAACTCAAATATTCCAATATTTCCTCTAAATTATGGTTGTCCAACACATCTACAAAGGCCCTTATTCAGAGAGTATAATAAAGATTTGTCATGCTCAGCAGCAACCCTCAACATGGAGTAAACCTCTTGGCTTTCACATAGCACAAGTAAGATTGGACCGACAACTCTCAATGAGCTGAATATAATGATGAGCCCTGATTCTGTCAGTGCAAATGGGTCATACATAAAAATTAAAGAAATATTAAGTTTTTTATGGATGGAAGCCTGGTTCTACTAACTGCTGTATTAAGTGAAGCATTTGGAAAATATGCATTTAAAAGATAGGGTATAGAAGTTCCACTTGAACCATGATAGTGTGAGGAGCTCCATAAACTCACTCCCCAGTGAAACAGGTGAAAATTATATATAAAACAAAACCATTTATCTGGAAATGAACTTAAGTTCATAGCAATAATAAAGAATATTTGTTTAATAAAATCTAAAACTCAGTAGGAATTGTGAGAGTATGTTGGATCTTAATCAACACCTGTAGCATTCCATTTCCCTTCCAACTCGGTAAAACAGAAGCTCCACTTCAGATTAGTTAGACAGTAAGATAGGGCTTCCTCTCTCCCAACTTCCAGTCAGAGGTCTATTTACCCAGAAGAGGTAGAACTTCAGCATTTAATTTCCTGCCCTAACTCCCTGTTGCTAAACATAAGTTCTGGAGAGTGAAGCTAAGAGGTGGAGGCTGCTTGCTTCTGCCCAGCGTCCACTTGTGAGACAGAGGCTTTACTTACGCTGTGCTGCCAGTAAGAATATTAAAACTCTGAGAGTGATTTTTCTGACTAATGGCGTAAGGGTTTCATGCCAAAATGGGCAAACTGAGGAGGTCTAGGCCTGTGTCTCCCCCATCCACTGAGCAATCAACAACTAAATTAAGGGTGTCAAATAGAGAGAAATATGTTATTTTCCCATTTTCAGCATCAGAATAATGGCTTATAGATTTTTCCTAAGTAAGTCATAGAACAGAGAGCACAAACACCTCCCCAAAGGATTGACTTTCTTTGCAAAAGAACATGAAGAAATTCAAGCCTAGGGACACTCTTTAAAACAGTAGAAGCTGTAGTTAAAAGAAAAGTGATTTAGAAAGAATTCTGATTTCATCAGAGATATAAGCTAATCTGTAGGCCTATAACATATAAAAACATATATTTACTACTAACCATCTATATTTACTGTAACATATATTTACTAATAAAGAAGAAAGGTGGGAGAAAAACTATATGGTAGTGTGTTTTATGTGGCAAAGTGATAAGGTTTATGCATAAATATTAACCTAAATACTCTTGGCTCCTGGGAGATTTATAAACAAACTTTAAGAGAATGAGTTACAGACTAAGAACATGCATTTGAGACACCAAATTGCACTGAGAAAAGTATTCTGTCTTATTTGTGCCATTACACATGTTAGACTCATTTGTTTCAGAAACTAGTTTCTTTAACCAATATGTAAATTATTTATACCGACACACATTTTAGAGTGTATTGGCTGTTGGTGTACCATGACACATATTAGACTGTTGATTGTACCATTCCACATGTTACAGTTATTTGTTTCAGGCATTAGAGTCTATTTAACCAACAGAGAACTAATTTGATGGTAAGGTGCTGCCATAACTGATATAGATATAATTAGCTAAACAGTTTAATGATGATCTGCCAAGAAATTGATGTCAGCAGTTAGAAAACTAAAGTCCTTTTTTATGCAGAGACAGCACAGTTGGTAAAATTGTTATAGTTGACAAGTTGGAAAGCAGTGCATGTCTCTGACAAGACTTCAGCTCTGTGGGAAGTGTTTGGAAAGAAATGGAGTGATAGTGTTTGTTGGCATTTATTTTCTGCTTTTACTACAGTACTAAACAAGAGAGATGAGCTCAGGCACAGAGAAGAATTGACAGTTTCCAGACAGAAATGTAAGAGAACAAATTCCAGAAATGTGTGGCTTCACAAGATTAGAAAACCAACCTTCTTGTAGGCCCCAAATCTAGTAAAAATGCACCAATGTTTGGGTGATAATATTAAGTTTCCTGTTAAACAAGATCATTTTGTCTTCTGATAAAGTGCAAGCCTTTGTACTCAAGCTTATATTTTTAGGTGGCCTTATGTTAAATGAGAGTGAATAGGCTGAATAAGTTGAGAAACAAAGCAAACTTGAGACTTGGGTCTAGAAAAAGAAAACTAAGTGAGGTCACTGTAATATAGACATTTCTAGAAGCAAACAGATCAGAAGTCTGCTTTTTTTTGAAGAAATTGTTTTATCAAGGACACCAAGAGATTAACATAATAGTGGCTTTGTCTATTTAAGCATTAAACTACTGTTTTGTCACTAAACTTTCAGCAGCAAAATATAAGTAGTTGAAAGGTGTACAGCCACTTGAAAGGGCATTCTTCCCTGTAATCACTTCGATGATGCATTGGAGGATGATGAGCAAGGCAGGACTTCACAAAGGTGCAAACACCCACTCACATACGCTCAAAAACACACATGCACACACTCACACACACACACACTCACATAGGCGACACTGTAGATCATTGACAAGCTGTTCCTACCAACAGAACAAAATCAGTCTTATTAAGGAAGCTCCCCATCCACAATGAAGGAAGCTTTCACAAATGCTGCTGAAGTGGTTTGGCTCTGTGTCCCTACCCAAATCTCATGTCAAATTGTAATCCCCATGTGTTGAAGGTGAGGCTTGGTGGGAAGTGATTGAATCATGGGGATGGTTTCTAATCGTTTAGCACCATCCCTCTAGTGCTGTCTTGTGACAGAGTTCTTACAAGGTCTGATTGTTTAAAAGTGTGTGCACTTCCCCCTCGCGGTCACTGTCTCTTGACCTGCCATGGTAAGACATTGTAAGTTTCCTGAGGCTTCCCAGTCATGATTCCCATTAAACCTGTGGAACTGTGAGTCAATTAAACCTTTTTTCTTCATAAATTACACAGGCTCAGTTAGTTCTTTAAAACAGTGTGAGAATGGAATAATACAAGTACTCAGCAGGATTTCATAATTGTAATAAACCAGTGATTGCTGTGTAAAATTTCCAGTCTCTACTATTCAGAAAGGGAGTTTTGTCATGGTCATTTTCTCAATGTTTAGCATTATATGGAATGGGTAGGGCCCATGGCTTTTCTTTTTAGTTCATAGCTTGAACATTTATGGGGAGACTTGGGATTGTGTGATAGTCATTAAGACCTGACATATAATGCATTTCTCCTTCTTTTAGGCACAATCTTCTGTACAATTTTTGAAGTTAGCACTGATAACTGATTTGGTGTAGCTGCTTAAGTATTGGTGGAAATTATGTGAGTTCCATGTTCTCCTCACCAAACATGGTAATCATAGAAGTATATACCTTAATGGAGATTTCATTTATCTGCCTTAGTAAATAATCACAGAAATCAAAGCCCTCTGCTGCACTGTGTTGGGCAGGTATTGTGATTGAGAAATATATGTTGATGGCATTTAGCCACTGATATATTGCCATTCTCTGTTAGTTACCATAACCTAGATTATTCTCATTGATTAAGTGTCCCTTAAAAATTAAATAACTGTTATCCATATGGGAAGTAAGGTGTCTGGAAAACCGACCTGGAAAATCAGAGAGGAAACTGAATAGCTGGTCATTTTACTGTTTTCCTCCTGCTCTGTTTACACAGTTGGACTAAAGTTCCCAGTTTCTCTTCCACTTAAGTGTGGTCACATGACTTTATAGTCTTCGAAATGTGAATAAAAATTATGTGTTCCACTTACATGATGATTCATGTTTGATCATCATATAATTCTCTTTTCCATCAGACAGCTGTATGCAAAGTAGTACAAAGAACTTTTAAGCCACATGTTAAGGTGGAGAAGGCAAGGATA
This sequence comes from Homo sapiens, assembly GCF_000001405.40. Lineage (NCBI taxonomy): Eukaryota > Metazoa > Chordata > Mammalia > Primates > Hominidae > Homo > Homo sapiens. The sequence continues at coordinate 166,363,011 of NC_000003.12, forward strand.
GATTAATGCTGGGTATTTTATTCACAGCTTGGAAAAGGGCTTCTTGTCAATTAGGAATACCTGCTTGGAATCTTAGTGGTGCATAGCAGATTTTTGTGACATTATTTTTGCAGAAGCTAACATTACCTTATCTCCTCACTATCCCCTCCTTCCATCCAACATACCTACCAGGAAAATTAATGTACTACTTGATTAGATTGATTTTAAGATGATAAAAAGACAGAGGTGAATTGACAAAACATTAGCCTATTTGAAAAATTAATTAAATTTGAAGAGAGATAATCCTTTACTTTAATCAGTGGTGGAAAAGTAAAGGGAACACATATCAAGTTCTTTCTTTCCCTTTTTGAAATCAAGTAACTGAAGCACGATGCAGTTATTTATAAGATTTGGAGGAGGAGAGGCGCTCTGCTTTTTAGAGTTTCCAGTTTTTCTGCTCTGTTTTTTCCCCATTTTTGTGGTTTTATCTGCTTTTGGTCTTTGATGATGGTGATGTACAGATGGGTTTTTGGTGTGGATGTCCTTTCTGTTTGTTAGTTTTCCTTCTAACAGACAGGACCCTCAGCTGCAGGTCTGTTTATGTAGAAAGCTGAAACTGGATGCCTTCCTTATACCTTATACAAAAATTAATTCAAGATGGATTAAAGACTTACATGTTAGACCTAAAACCATAAAAACCCTAGCACAAAACCTAGGCATTACCATTCAGGACATAGGCATGGGCAAGGACTTCATGTCTAAAACACCAAAAGCAATGGAAACAAAAGACAAAATTGACAAATGGGATCTAATTAAACTAAAGAGCTTCTGCACAGCAAAAGAAACTACCATCAGAGTGAACAGGCAACCTACAGAATGGGAGAAAATTTTTGCAATCTACTCATCTGACAAAGGGCTAATATCCAGAATCTACAATGAACTCAAACAAATTTACAAGAAAAAAACAAACAAACCCATCAAAAAGTGGGCAAAGGATATGAACATATACTTCTCAAAAGAAGGCATTTATGCAGCCAAAAAACACATGAAAAAATGCTCACCATCACTGGCCATCAGAGAAATGTAAATCAAAATCACAATGAGATACCATCTCACACCAGTTAGAATGGCAATCATTAAAAAGTCAGGAAACAACAGGTGCTGGAGAGGATGTGGAGAAATAGGAACACTTTTACACTGTTGGTGGGACTGTAAACTAGTTCAACCACTGTGGAAGACAGTGTGGCGATTCCTCAGGGATCTAGAACTAGAAATAGCATTTGACCCAGCCATCGCATTACTGGGTATATACCCAAAGGACTATAAATCATGCTGCTATAAAGACACATGCACTCGTATGTTTATTGCGGCACTATTCACAATAGCAAAGACTTGCAACCAATCCAAATGTCAGACAATGATAGACTGGATTAAGAAAATGTGGCACATATACACCATGGAATACTATGCAGCCATAAAAAATGATGAGTTCATGTCCTTTGTAGGGACATGGATGAAATTGGAAATCATCATTCTCAGTAAACTATCACAAGGACAGAAAACCAAACACCGCATGTTCTCACTCATAGGTGGGAATTGAACAATGAGAACACATGGACACAGGAAGGGGAACATCACACTCTGGGGATGGTTGTGGGGTGGGGGGAGGGGGGAGGGATAGCATTAGGAGATATACCTAATGCTAAATGATGAGTTAATGGGTGCAGCATACCAGCATGGCATATGTATACATATGTAACTAACCTGCACGTTGTGCACATGTACCCTAAAACTTAAAGTATAATAAAAAAAAAAGATTTGGAATTAGTAACCTTCAAAAAGGGAAATAATGCATATTATTTCTTTACTTATCTGATCTATTTACATATAGCTGAAGTAAAGTTATTTATTTATTTATTTATTTATTTTTTTATTTATTGAGAATGGAGTATCACTCTGTCACCAGGCTGGAATGCAGTGGTGGGATCTCAGCTCACTGAAACCTCTGCCTCTTGGGTTCAAGTGATTCTCCTGCCTCAGCCTCCCACGTAGCTAGGACTACAGGCATGTGCCACCACACCAGGCTAATTTTTGTATTTTTAGTAGAGACATGGTTTCACCACGTTCGCCAGGATGATCTCTATCTCTTGACCTTGTGAGTTGCCCACCTCAGCCTCCCAAAGTGTTGGGATTACAGGCATGAGGCACCACGCCCGGCCATAGAGTGATTTCTTAAGTGAACACTGTCATGAGGCTGTAGCATTACTCAAGATCACAGAATTAATACAACCTGTAATGTAAACTCCATTCTTTAACCTCATAGCTTGCTTAGTTTTACCTTTTATAAGGATCAATATGGGAATATAAGATAAATATTGACATAGAAAATTATTTAAACCAAAAATTTGAGCTTCTCATAGCAAATTAAAGGTCCTGAAGTTAAAACAATTACAATCTTAAATTTTGAAAATTTGAAATATTTACTTTGAATATATTCATACTTTTAATGTTTATGTGACATATAAATTATTTGTGTGCTTAGAATATTTACTTTATAAAGTTTCACATGTTATCTTATGATATTTACTATATCATTATTTAATAAACTCCTTAATGTATGTTATAACTAATTTTGAACCTCAAAAATTATGAAAACCAATTATAAAAAGTATACATGCTAGAATATTAAATTTTATCATTGTTTATTTTTGAGGGTGGTGGCACTTGTTTGTTCACTGGAATTGAACTAGAAAGAAAATATATGACTGATTATTAGTATTAAATGTCACAACATCTGGATATTGATGCCATAGTCTATGAAATGTGACAGACAGTCAATACCTAAGAGACAATTCCACTTTGTATGAGGACGAGGAAAAAAGTTCCATATATATCTATTTAAGCAAGTCAAGATGATACATGACAACATGCAATACCAATTTTTATGCAGATATGAAGAAATGCAAACATAGAAAACATTTCCAAAAGTCATTTATGCCTAAAACAATTTAATAAAATGACATGTTCTTAACCTCTTCAAAGTTTTCAAAGTTTCTAAATGAATTTCTGTTGTACGATAATTTCTATTAAGATTAGAAAGAACAAGACATCACTGTCTGGCAAGCAAATTAGCTATAAGAATTTTTAAAATTAACACATAGTAATTGTACCTATTCATAGGTACAATGTAATGTTTCCATACATGCATACATTGTATGATGATCAAATCATTGCAATTGTTTGTTTATAATCTTAAATAATTATCATTTCTTTGTTCTGAGAATATTCAAAATCCTCTTTTCTAGTTAAGTTAAATATGGAATGCATTACTGTTAGCTGTAACCACCCTACTATGCAATATAATACCATAACGTATTCCTCCTATCTAACTGTAACATTCTGCTCCCTGACCAAAATTTCCTAATCTCCTCTGTCCTTTATTATTCCCAGTCTCTGATAATCACTATTACACTCTCAAATTTCATGACATCTTTTTAAAATAAAATAAAATAAAATAAAAGATTCCACAAGTGAGTGAGATCAGGCAATATTTGTCTTTCTGTGCCTGGCTTATTTCACCTAACATAATGTCCTCCAAACTAATTTATATTTTTTTTCAAATGACAGATTCCATCCATTTTATGGTTTAATAGAATTCCCTTGTAATTTCATTGTCTATATGTACCACATATTCTTTATCCATTAATCAATTCATGAACATTTAGGTTGATTCCATATCTTGGATGTTGTGGATAGTGTTGAAATAAACATGGAAATGCAAATATCTCTTCAATACACTAATTTTCCTTCTTCGGATATATACCAAGCACTGGGATTGTGGGATAGTATGATAGATCTATTTTTCATTTTCTTGTGGAACATTCATACTGTGCTTTATAATGGCTCTATTAATTTACATTCCCATCAACAGAGTCATAAGAGTACCCCTTTTTCTATATCCTTACCAGCATTTGATATGTGTTGTCTTTTAGATAATAGCCATTCTAACTGGGGTGAGGTGATATTTCATTGTAGGGGATCTACTTTGCCGTCTGAAAGTGCTCCACACTTTCTCTGATAATTCTTAATACTTTAATTAAAAAAGGTGATTAAATACATAACTCTCCTTGACATCCCATTGCCACCCATTGTCTTTTAATTCAACTAATAAAGATACTTAATATATAATCAGTTGCTTCTATCAAACTAAATTTAGAAAAAAAAATGTAAGTATGTGTGGAGGAGTAGGATATGGGAATTCGGCATTTAGAGAAAGCTGAAAAAACGTATACACAAAACACTTTTTAAAAATTATCGAGAAAGAGAGGCTAAAATTCTATAGAAAGTACATTCTGAATTTGTGGGTTTTCTTATTCCAAGTATGATGGCCTAAAGATCCAGAAATAGATTAAGCTTTATTGAAAGAGCTTATTGATTCAAAAATGAGACCAAATTGTAAAATCAAACGCAATTTTACTTTTAAGCACAGATTTTGCCGGACGTGAATAAGGCAAAAGCAGTGAACTAAACCTCAAACAGCCAGCTCTTATCTTTCTTACTTTATGGTAATTCCTTAAAGAAGGCAATAGGAATTGTATTGTAGATCAGACATGTGAAAATGAAGAAATATTATTATAAAGAGAAAAACAGAGATACAGAGAGAATATGTGTGTGTATGTGTATTCTTTTAAAAATATGTGTACCTCTTAAAATTGTGACTTGAATTCTTCTATAAATTTAGTAATTGCCATTTCCAGGATTACCTTGTGAAAACATTATTATGCTTGCAGACCAGAGCATGACGGCTGCATAGGAGGCTCCATTAATCATCCCATTGCAAAGACACAAATTAACAACTATCTACAGACACAAAATCACCTTCATAAGAACCAAAATTAGGCAAGCACTCAGAGTACCTGGTTCTAACTTTATATCACTGAAAGAGGCACTGAAGAGGGAAGAAAAGACAATCTTGAAATGCTGATGCTATCCCTCTCTCATCCCTTGACAGGTACCACATGGCACAGAGAGAGAATTTGTGCACTTGGGAGAGTACATCACTTGTGAAACATTGCATTGAACACAGTCCTTCCCTGTCACAACAGAAAGCAAAACTGATCTGAACTCAGCTGGCACCCAACCAAAAAGGAAGTATTTAAACCAGCCCTAGCCAGAGGGGAATCAACCATTGCAATGGTCATAATTTCCATTCCCAGAAGCCTTTCCCCCATGGGTTAAAGTGCTGTGGGGCTCCAAATAACTCGAAAGGCATTCTAAGCCACAGGGCCTGCAACTCTTAGTTGAGTTCCAGTGCTGAACAGGGCTCAGAGCCAGTGGACATGAGGACATGCAACCTACTGCAACAACAGCAAGTGTGGCTAAGGGAGTGCTTGTGCCACCCCTCCCTGATACCCAGGCCACACAGCTCAGGGCGCCAAAACAGACCCATTTTTATGCTTGAGAAGAGGAGAGGAAAAAGGAAAGAAGACTTTGTCATGCATTTTGGATACCAGCTCAGTCACAGTAGGACAGGGCACTGGTCAGAGTGATGAGGCTCCATTCCAGGCTTTGGCTCCCAGATGACATTTCTAGACACAACCTGGGGTAGAAGGGAAGGTGCTGCTTTGAAGAAAAGAACTCAGTCCTGGCAGGAGCCATGACCTGCTGATTAAAAAGCCCTGGGTATTGACAGCACTATGAAGGTAGTATGCCATGGGCCTTGGGTGACACTCTGAGACTCCCTGGCTTCAGGTGAGACTCAGAACATTCCCAACTGTGGTGGCCATGGGGAGAGGCACCTTCTGCTTGGGAAAAGTAAAGGGGAATTTGTTTTGCACTGTAAGTACTATCTTAGCCACAGAGGGGTAGAGCAGCAAGAGGGCTCTTGAGTCCCCATTTCAAGGTCTTGACTTTATGATGTCATTTCTGGACCTTCCCTGGGCCAGAGGGGAGCCTACTGTCATTAAGTGTGAGTCCTAGACCAGGTAATATTCACCACAAATTCACCAGAGAGCCCTTGGGCCTTAGCTGTAGCCTGGAAGTACTGTGGGCCTGTACTCTTCTGGTGGCGGCCATGGAATGAGGCTCCTCTGCCTGTGGAAAGGGAAGGGAAGGGTGGGAATGACTGTATCTTGTGGTTTGAGTGCCAGCTCAGCCATAGTACTATAGAACAACAGACATTCAAGGTTTTTGCCTGTAGTGTCTGGCTTACAAATGGCACTTCTTGACCTGCCTGTGCAAGGGGGAACTTGTTGCCCTGAAGGGAAGGACACAAGCCTGGTTGATTTCCCCATGTTTCAATTATTGAACCCAAGTGGCCACCTAGTATCTGCACAGCTCCGTGCTTGAGACTCAAGGCCCTGGTGGCTTGGGCTCACAAGGGGATTTCCTGATCCACGAGTTGCACAGATCTGTGGAAAAAGTGTGATTTCCTGGGTCAGGTAGCACAATCACTCACTGCCTCCCTTGGCTGGGGGTAGGAGCTCCCCTTGCCCCATGCAGCTCCCAGGTAGGCCATCACTCCACCCTGCTTTTCCTTGCTCTCCATGGGTCATGTCAACTGCCTAGTCAGTCCCAATTAGAGAACCTGGATTCCTCAGCTGAAGGTGCAGGGTTCACTCATCATTTCGTTCTTCTCAGTGGGAGTCCCTGACAGCAGCTACTTCTAGTCAGCCATCTTGGCCCCTTTTGAAATCTATTTTGTCCAATATAAATATAGCTATTCCTGAAATTTTTTGATCCATTGGCATGGAATATCCCTTTCAATCTCTTTGTTTTTGGTCTATGTGAATCTTTGTAGGTGGCATGTGTTTTCTGTAGGCAACAGATCATTGGGTCTCTTTTTTTAACTCATTCAGCCACTCTTGTCTTTTGATTGGATTATGTAGTCCATGTACTTTCAATGTTATTATTGACAAGTAAAGACTTACTCTTGCCATTTTGTCCTTGTCTCTGTTTTGTGGCATTTTCTTCCCCTTCTTTCTTAAATGCTCCCTCTTTGGGCAGGTATTAGCTGATTTTAGCCTGGCTTTACTTTCTGCCATTAGAGTGAAACACTGAGCTCAGTGTCTTAGAATTGACGTGCCCTCCTCCTCCTCAATGCATAAAAATGGTCTTCTTATTATGCCAAGGGATTAGCTAGAGATTGCATCAGCAATTCAGTCTTTTTTTTTTTTTTTTCCTATCTCATTCAGTGCCTTTTTAAGCAATATGAAGTTAAAGTCTGGTACTTTGAGTACTCTCCTGATTTATTATTATGAAGCTTCCTTTATTGTGTAGATAGTTGTTAAATTGGCGTCCTTATGGTGAAGGAACGATTGTTGGAAGTTTCTATTCTACCATCTTGCTCTTCCTCTTCCTCTTGAGAAAGCTTCATGTAATATCTAATACTGCTTTCATTATTATGTTTGATAAGTTGACTTGTTATGACAGAGATAATAATGCTTATAACATCTAAAATATTTGCTAGCTGAGATATTACCAAAATATTTTTTTTTACCCCTGGATGACATTTAGGTGAATATATCTTATTCTTGAGGGTGAGCATGCCTTTTTTCTCCTAGGTTTTTAGTGTCAAAGTTTGTGTTACATAATGAGAAGTGTGGCTGTGTTTTAATTTTACTCTCTATTTTCTTTATGTTTTTCCTGTGGTCTGTATTCCAGAGAAAATCTGTCTATTTCAACAGTCATAGATATATGGAAATATTATTTTTACTTGATACTTACTAGCAAATTATAAAATATTCAAATAATAAAAAATGAAAATATTACAGGAAAATATATGTGCAACCCCCTAGCAATACGTTTGTTAAACTATAATAAATGGACATTTTCTCAATAAAATACAAATGATCAAAATTGAACAAGGAATTAGAAAATAAAGAAAAGGTTCTTTTCTGATGTTTCTGATGTTCTGAATACATCTTTGGTGGACATGAGAGCTTGGGTCTTAGAGGTGTGGCTTTCACCTGTGTTACTTTCCTTCCTCAGATAAAATTCTGGACCTACTACTTATTCCTGTTCCCCAAGGGTAGATATATTTTTCCCCCTGTCCTGCTTCTCTCAAGTATAATGGGTTTCCACCAGTGTTGAAAGCTTATAGCTTTGTTGACCCTTTCCCTTCAAATAATGGTTTGTTACTTAGAGGAGATAAGATGGTGAGTAAGAGTGAGACAGTTGCTGCTGGTCCCTTTGTCCAGCCAGCATAATGGGAGATGTTTTCTCAGAATGCTTTCCAATCTACTCTGTGATTGCTTGTTAGGGTTTCTGAAAGAAAATTCTATAAAGGGGTTTGAATCCCACTATGTGTCTTTGGCCCTCAGTGTCTTTTCCATTCTCATGCTACAGACTTTGTTTTAAGCAATTTGTAAAGTTTTCAAGCTAAATTTTCTAATGGATTATATAGTTCGTGAGTACATTCCAAGTAAACAAAAGCCAGAATACTTTTTCTCCTGTAGGCCCCTATCTCTTCATAGATTTTGAGTAAGTTGTTTACCCTGTTACCTCAGTTCTTTGACTGTTTCAAGTAAATTCATTAATTTTCACTTTACTGTCGTCTGTCTTTTCTTCTTTTTCTTTCTTTCTTTCTTTCTTTTCTTTCTTTCTTTCTTTTCTTTCTTTCTTTTTATTTCTTTCCTTCTTTTTCTTTCACTTTATTTCTCTTCCACTTTCTTTCTCTTTCTCTCTTTTCCTTTCTTTTCTTTACTTTTTTCTTTTTTATCTTGTCCTCTGTTTGTGAGGGTGTGAGGGACACTTTTCAGATCTCTATAGCATAGATAACAATTCCTCTGATTTTGCTTTTATAAAAATTCTAAAACAAGTAACTAATAGCTGGAATTTTTGAATTGTGGTCACTTTTGGAGAGGAAGAGGAAATAATGCATGAGGAGGGTTTTTATGTTGCTGTGTTCCTTTTCTTGATCTAAGTTCTGGGTGTATGAATTGTTTCTTTGTATTGATTAAATGGTAGCTTTATGTTTTATGTACTTGTTTGTGTGTGTGTTAACTTCTAATTTAAAATCTAAGAAATAAATTATAAGTAAATGAAGCCATGATAGTAAACCAATTATATATACATATAAAACTATTGATATTTTAAATCAAATACCTTTAAGCCATGTAAGCCATAATATTAAACTGAATATGTATATATTATATATAACTGAATATACATATATATAACTGAATATATATATAATATATGTATCAGTAATTATATATATAATCACTGATTTTTTAAATCAAATACATTTAATGAGTATTTTGCTTGACATTAATCTTCTATAATTGTAATGCTTACCATCATGCATCAGATAATATTTTTCTCCCGTTAAATTTTTTCTCCTTCAATATACTCATTAACTATTCTAAAGGTTAAGTCTTAAATAATTACATAATTTCTTTCCAGAAATTTAATCTTCAATAATTATTGTCATCTTTTAATAATCAATCATTTTTATTTAAAATCCCAGATTATTTTAAATAATTAAAGTACTTAACTGACTCCTAGATTTCAAAAGCTCTCTATATCTGTGAAGATATTTGAACTCCAACCTCTGAATATTTAGTCAAGGTTTTGAAGGATTAAAAATATTATATTAAATTATGCAGACATTCTTTTTTTAATATGCTTGTTACTGGTAAGCACATGTTCAAAATACACAGGCTGAAGTAAAACTAGCATTTATGTTTTTGTATCTTTGAGCTTTCCAATCTCTCTCTATATCCCAAATTCTTAAGCAAAATGAATGAGAACATTGTTTTAGAAATTGAAATTGAAATGTCACATATTTTATTTCCTTCAGCAACTCTTACGTGGAACACATTTACTGGCAAAAACAAAGTCATCTCTGTTAAGATAAGCATTTGAGCTGTCAGAGTCTGAATGATTATAGAGGACATAACTAATTTATGTGTCAAAAAGCTATTCTACTCTGCACCATCAACACCTATTATACACACTATTGGGGAATATAGCTAGCCCTACTGATGTATAGATTGATAATCAATGCCAGTCACATATGAGATAAATGATAGCTCTTTAAACTATTATGGTTGCAAAGTCATAATTTTTAGTCTATTCCCCTCTACTTTATCCACTGAGGAATATTTAGATAATACTCACAAGATGTGTTTATGCTTGCATGTATATACACACACAGAGACATATATATATATATATGTTTGTATATACAATATTTAGAAATATGTATATTTTCATCAGTATTCTAGTAACTTGTTGGCTTATATTATATCACGGAGAAAAAAGAAAAGAAACAAAGTATACACATTATTTTTGATGGAAAAATTTATCCATTTATATTTAAACAGTACACCATGAGTTTCTGTTGTTCTGAATTTTCAGTTTGAGGTAAGAAGGCCTGATGCACATTGCTGCTAGATCGCACATTTACTGCATCATGTGAAGGTGAAATATCAGCATACCAAAAAAGTCTATGAATTATTTAACCCACAAGTTAAAAAAAAGTAAGTTCCTAGAGCAATAATCTGATAAAGCAGAAATATATCAATATTATTCTTTAAAGAACAGCAAAGATTTTAAAACTGGTAGATAAATTTTAGGACTGATCAAGATCAAAATAAATATAATTCTGTAAATTAAAGCTTCATTGAAGTAGAAGAAGAAAACATGTTCTCCATATGAGAAGGAAAAACATCATAAAATTTATATATTTTATGTAAACACATAGGGTTCAGCAAGGATTATGAAATACATTAGCCATAATATTTTTATAATCACTTACACAGTCTTTCTCCTGCTTTAAGCTTTCTTATGTTAGTTTGTTCTCTCCACTCATTTTGGCCTTCCACTTCTCCTTTCTGCTGCCTTCCTGCTAATATAGAAATACCCTCTCTTAAGAGGACATCATTTAAAGTTTACTATGATACATATTTGAATACATTTTACTTTTTGTAATAAGTAAGACAGTTACAATGTGAATAATAAGAAAATAGGACAATAAAAGATGCCATATGGTAAATAATATTTAAATATCACCTCTTCATCTAGAAATATCTAATACTGTCTTACCTATTTTTTCCAGTTATTATTTTATTATAAGGTGTCTAGGCTTTTTAACCCAAAGTTGAGTCTCTCTGTTTAAAATTGGAGTTGTTTACTAAATGTTTTGTAAGACTTTCCTCTATTATCTTCTGTTATTTTCTATTTAAAAAATAAATATCTCTTGCTACTAGGAAGAAGGATATATTTACCTCATAGGTTTTGTTTTCTTTAGTTATGTCTGAAGATATTCAGTAAGTTACTCTCGGACACACATTAGATATATGGAAATTTAAAATGCAACTTATCAGAGTGTACTGCTCTAAATATTTTTAAGCATATTAAATGTAGCATACAGTTTGAATTTATTTAGTATTTTCATTGAGTATATTTGAAAAAACATAACAAAAGAATTTTTAAGTATTTTAGTAATCGTAATTTTAGATATAAAACATTTTTTTATAAACCAAAAAAACAGATTTTGTCAATCATCTAGGGGAAGGTATAGTAAAAGTTAGTTTATTTATGGCCTGTACTACTATTTTCTAAAGAAATATTTGTCTATTTTTTCTCTTTCTTATAACATTTACATGAAGAGGATTCTATTTCTAAAATAACTTTTTTATGATTAAAGAACAAACTAAGCTAATATCCAGAACAAATGATTATTGATCAATCATGTTTTGTTTACTGTTGGCATATAGAAATGCTGGTTTTGTACATTGATTTTGTATTCTGCTTGTGATGCATATTCTGAAAGTTAATTGTTTAGATAATGCTTTAATGCTGACTACATACCTATATTTCCTTAAAAGGATTGCCTTTTGCCTCTTTTACATGGCCCTTTTGGGAGTCCACCTCAGAGAACACTTTATAATGTTATCAGTTCATAATTGCAAAATCTGGAATCAAAACTGATAATCATTCTTAATAAAATAAATTTTAAAAAATCAAAGTAAACAAATATAAAAATGGAAAAAATGTTGCAGCTATAGTGCTCTATATAAAATCAGAAGCTGACTAAATTAACAAATAGCTATTTCATGGAGGAAGACTCGATTTCGTACTGCTTCTTGTCACACATTAGAAAATCTATTTTTATTTCAGATTAATGAAACTATAATGAGTTAAAAAGTTGTCAAAGAAAAATTGTACTGGGTGGAGTTAAATGAGTAACGAAGACTTAATTCAGGGCTATGTAATAGGGAAGAGAGACTGCTGTAATAGAAGAGAGAGATTAAACTCAATTCTGTTGAAACAAAATGTGGGATAGTTTTTAAGCCCTGAAGTAAGCCAGATAAGAAGTACTGGTGCACAAGGATGTTAGTGAAGAGGTTGGTCAATGTAATTAGGCCATCTGCATTTTCTTACGGGGGCTTATAAAATGAGCCTCCTACCCTTCCATTGAGACTGGGAGATTAGAGACCTATCTTTTTTCACGATTTCACTTCAAAACGATGGCTCCCAGGTCTTTAAGAAAGACATTCCCTAGTTTAATATCTGCAATGGCCCGAAAGATTTGTCTATATTTGAAAGGAGCATAGAAAATATTTACAAGGTTTCTAAAGTAAATGCTCTAAGAAAAGAGAGGTCAGAGGTTTATAGTCAAAAGGAAACCTCTTTGAAGTTTATTCAAGCCAAGGGTAACATTAAGTAATTATTTTAATTCATTACAAGCAGTTTACACCACCTAAATACAAGTACATATGCTAAATGTTGAATGGTAAGCAACTTTTGAAAAAAAATTACACATAAAAACTTAAAGAAAAATAATTTAAGCCATGAAATATGGCAGATACATGTCAGATGTTGCTCTTTTGTCACATAAAATTGCTAAATATTACCCTGTTGTTGCTTTTATTATTGAGTGGTTTTGTGTGGTTATTGCAAGGAAGAAGTAAAAAAAGCATGAATTTGAGTGGAATAGTCTATTTATTAGAACACTACAGTCAATTGTGTATATTTTCACTTGGTAAGTTCAATGCATCTGACATGTTTTCCTTTGAATGTATAGCAACATAAATGCTCATCAAAATCCTTTGAAATTTTATTAATCTGTAAATTAGAAGTGATGGGAAAGTGAAGAGATACATACATAGAAGATTTTTCATAGTATTTTCTAAAGTTGTCTTGGCAAGCTTGAAGAGCAAATGGCTGGGCAACCTAGGCATGGCAAAGAGCATGACATTAGCATGATGATGGAGTAAAAATTTGGCAAAATTCCTTCTTATCTTGAAAATAGCTTTATATCTAGTCTTTCATGACCTACATAGAATAACTTAACTCTGACAACTATCAGAAGTGAATACACAATTAAAGTAGCTTTTGTAAAACCAGCTTGAATGAAGGTAACTTTCACAGCAGGGTTGGAAAAGCATTTTCAAGGCAAGACAGAAGAGATTACGATTTGAATGGAATGGCGCAGTCATGCTTGGAGGAACAAAATAAGGTGATTTTTTTCCTTGGAAAATTTGGTGGTTAATGATATCAAAGTAAAAAAAAAGATAATAAACACATATCATTATTTAATGATGGCTTGTGTGTGAGAGGTTTGTATATGAGGTAAGTATCCAAAAATGAGTACTAATCAGATAAGACAAAACAGAAGCCAAGAGCATCCTAAGAAAGCAAACATGAGTAGTAATGCAAAATTTAAATATGATAGAATATCTGGGAACTACATGTACATTAAAATAGGGAAATCAGATACAGAGCAGTAGAAAATGAACCTGCAGACAAGAATCAGGTCATGGAGGCTCTCTTATAAGATCTGAGAAATTTGAACTTCATTTAAGAATTAAGAACCTAGGAATAAAGAGAATGGGGTTAAGAGGGTAGAAATTCTGATGATACTTTCTTTTGCTGTGCAGAAGCTCTTTAGTTTAATTAGATCCCATTTGTCAATTTTGGCTTTTGCTACCATTGCTTTTGGTGTTTTAGTCATGATGTCTTTGCCCATGCCTATGTCCTGAATGGTATTGCCTAGGTTTTCTTCAAGTGTTTTTATGGTTTTAGGCATTACATTGAAGTCTTTAATCCATCTTGAGTTAATTTTTGTATAAGGTATAACGAAGGGGTCCAGTTTCAGGTTTCTATGTACAGCTAGCCAATTTTCCCAACACCATTTATTAAATAGGGGATTCTTTCTCTGTTGCTTGTTTTTGTCAGGTTGTCAATGATCAGATGACTGTAGATGTGTGGAGTTATTTCTGAGGCCTATATTCTGTTCCATTGGTCTATATATCTTTTTTTGGTACCAGTACCATGCTGTTTTGGTTACTGTAGCCTTGTAGTATAGTTTGAAGTCAGGTAGTGTGATGCCTACAGCTTTGTTCTTTTTGCATGGGATATCTTGGATATACAGGCTCTTTTTTGATTCCACATAAAATTTAAAGTAGTTTTTTCTAATTCTGTGAAGAAAGTCAATGATAGCTTAATGGGGATAGCATTGAATCAGTAAATTATTTTGGGCAGTATGGCCATTTTCATGATATTGATTCTTCCTATCCATGAGTATGGAATGTTTTTCCATTTGTTTGTGTCCTCTCTTATTTCCTTGAGCAGTGGTTTGTCGTTCTCCTTGAAGAGGTCCTTCACATCCCTTGTAAATTGTATTCCTAAATATTTTATTCTCTTTGTAGCAATTGTGAATGGGAATTCACTCACGATTTGGCTCTCTGTTTGTCTATTATTGGTGTGTAGGAATGCTTGTGATTTTTGCACATTGATTTTGTATCCTGAGACTCTGCTGAAGTTGCTTATCAGCTTAAGGAGTTTTTGGGCTGTGACGATGGGGTTTTCCAAATACATAATCATGTCATCTGCAAGCAGAGACAATTTGACTTCTTCTCTTCCTATTTGAATATCCTTTATTTCTTTCTCTTGCCTGATTTCCCTGGCCAGAACTTCCAATACTATGTTGAATAGGAGTGGTGAGAGAGGGCATACTTGTCTTGTGCCGGTTTTCAAAGGGAATGCTTCCAGCTTTTGCCCATTCAGTATGATCTTGGCTGTGTGTTTATCATAAATACCTCTTATTATTTTGAGATACGTTCCATCAATATCTAGTTTATTGACAGTTTTTAGCATGAAGGGGTGTTGAATTTTATCAAAGGCCTTTTCTGCATCTATTGAGATAATCATGTGGTTTTTGTCATTGGTTCTGTTTATGTGATGGATTACATTTATTGATCTGCCTATGTTGAACCAGCCTTGCATCCCAGGGATGAAGCTGAATTGACCGTGGTGGGTAAGCTTTTTGATGTGTTGATAGATTCTGTTTGCCAGTATTTTATTGAGGATTTTTGCATTGAAATTCATCAGGGATATTGGCCTGCAATTTTCTGTTTGTTTTGTCTCTGCCACGTTTTGGTATCAGGTTGATGCTGGCCTCCTAAAATGAGTTAGGGAGGAGTTCCTGTTTTTCTGTTATTTGGAATAGTTTTAGAAGGAATGGTACCAGCTTCTCTTTGTACCTCTGGGAGAATTTGGCTGTGAATTCTTCTGGTTCTAGGATTTTTTTTTGGTCGATAGGCTATTAATTATTGCCTCAATTTTAGAATTTGTTATTGATCAATTCAGGGATTTGACTTCTTCCTCATTTAGTCTTGGAAGGGTGTATATGTTCAGGAATTTGCCCATTTCTTCTAGATTTTCTAGTTTATTTGCATAGAGGTGTTTATAGTATTCTCTGATGGTAGTTTGTATTTCTGGGGAATTATTGGTGGTATCCCCTTTATCATTTTTTCTTGTGTCTATTTGATTCTTCTCACTTTTCTTCTTTATTAGTCTGGTTAGCAGTCTATTTTGTTAATCTTTTCAAAAAACCAGCTGCTGGATTCATTGATTTTTTGAAGGGTTTTTCATGTCTCTATCTCCTTCAGTTCTGCTCTGATCTTACTTATTTCTTCTCTTCTACTAGCTTTTGAATTTGTTTGCCCTTGCTTCTCTAGTTCTTTTAATTGTGATATTAGGGTGTCGATTTTAGATCTTAGAAATTTTTTGCAATCTATCTATCTGACAAAGGGCAAATATCCAGAATCTACAAGGAACTTTAACAAAGTTACAAGGAAGAAACAAACAACCCCATCAAGGAGGTGAAGGACTTGAACAGACATTTCTCAAAAGAAGACATTTATCCAGCCAACAAACATATGAAAAAAGCTCATCATCACTGGTCATTAGAGAAATGCAAACCTAAACCATGATGAGATACCATCTCATTCCAGTTAGAATAGTGATCATTAAAAAGTCAGGAAACAACAGATGATGGAGAGGATGTGGGGAAATAAGAATGCTTTTACACTGTTGGTGGGAGAGTAAATTAGTTCAACAATTATGGAAGACAGTGTGGCGATTCCTCAACGATCCAGAACTACAAATACTATTTGACCCAGCAATTCTATTATTGGGTATATACCTGAAGAATTATAAATCATTCTACTCTAAAGACACATGCACTCTTATATTTATTGTGGTACTATTCATAATAACAAAGACTTGGGACCAACTAAAATGCCCATCAATGATACACTGGATAAAGAAAATGTGGCACATATACACCATTGAATACTATGCAGGCATAAAAAAGATGAGTTTATGTCCTTTGCAGGGGCATGAATGAAGCTGGAAACCATCACTTTCAGCTAAGTAACAAAGGAACAGAAAACCAAACACCACATTTTCTCACTCATAAGTGGGAGTTGAACAATGAGAACACATGGACACATGGAGGGGAACATCACACACTAGGGGCTGTCAGGGGACAGGGGGCTAGGGTAGGGATAGCATTAGGAGAAATACCTAATGTAGATGACGGGTTGATGGATGCAGCAAACCACCATGGCATGTGTATAACTATGTAACAAACCTGCACGTTCTGCACATGTATCCTAGAACTTAAAGTATAATTTAAATAAATGAAGGTAGAAACATTTTGAAAAAGAAAAAATCTGAGAATCATTCTGATATTAAATCTTGTCCCACCATCAGTGAAAACCATTACATTGTCACTTATAAGAGAGATGTGTCATGATCATTATTCTGGCAGTAATGTAAATATATGTTGGGGTATCATATGGTGGATAAATGATGAGGGCCAGAATTATTGCAATAGCAGTGACAATGAAGAGAAGAGGATGGCTCTACGCAATATCTAGTAAGCGTGTAGGATATAGTAAATGTGAAGGCTTGATCAAAATCAGGAAACAGTGTTGAAGCAGTCAGGATTCACTTCCATAATTCTGTCATTAAGTCTGATAATAATATTACCAACTTAAGGGAAGTGTGGAACAATAGAATTGATGATGATGTAAATATGTCACTTTTGTACATATTGATTGCCAAGTGCTGTGGTAGATTAACTTCTAAGAATGAACCCAATGACTCTCACTGTTTTAAAACCCCTTTCTTTTGAATGTTTTTGGAACCTGCGAATATCATATGACCTCACTCCCATGATTTAGTTATATTATATAGTTTAAAAAGATTATCTGAGTGGGTCTGCTTTAATCATGTAGCTCTTTAAAAGAAGAGAGTTTACTCCTGATATTGGTAAGAGGGAAGTCAAAGATATTTGAAGCATACAAATTTGATGCTAGCTTAAAAAGGAAGGTGGTTATGTGACACGAATATGGGCAGACTCTAGAGGTTAAGGTTCTACTGAAAGTAATCCAGTAGATGAGATCTCTAGATAGATCTCTAGAAAGTAATCTAGTAGAAGAAATTGTATTCTGCCAACATCACAAATGAGCTTGGAAGCAAATTCTTCCCTAGGTGCACCACGTAGAATTCCAGCCCAAATAATTATTTTCATTATGGCTTTATGAGAATCTTACATGGGAATCCCAAAAGAGTCAGCCATGACTTTTGTCCTACAGAACTGTGATATAACAATTGAGTATTGTTTTAAGACCTTAAATATGTGATAATTTGTTGTGCTTTAAAATAAATTAATGCAGTGCCTCCAGGACTTCCAGATAAACTTATAGAGCTGACATTAGGCATTTAATGTTGTGCCTGAAGTGAAGTTGTAGATGGAGAAAGAGATTAAGACATTAGAATTAGGTCATACAGGTTGAAACATATGAAATAGCTGATATTGAACTGCTTTTGACCTATAAAAGTGGAAGTTTCATAGAGTCCAACCTAATGCAAAGTGTTAAAATCCTGAGTGCACTAAATTGTCCAACATTTTTATGTCTGAAACAGGTAGAAGGACATTGCCAATGTTTAACATTCTGAACTGATTTTTCCCCACAAATTCAGTATCATTGGAAATTTGAAATCAAATGATACCTTCGATGGATGAAGAACATTTTAACCCTTTGGTTATGAGTCAGTTTACTTATTCAGATCTTTAGTTTTGTAAAGCAGTCTATATAAAAGATAGGAGAGGTTGAAACATGGCAATGTGAAAGGGGATAGGAAGAATTCAATGCAAACCGTTCTTAGTAAAAATTAGGCAGATGTAATGATTTTCAAAATTATTCCCAAGCATGACTACATTTCAGTATAAAATTAAAAATGGATATAGAAATAGCTTCTTAAGTCAAGAAGCATTTGCACATATTTGATGAACTGCAATTGTCAAAAGTTCATTGAGTTACAAAATTCAGAGGAAAAATTCTGAGTTATCAAATCAGAATCGACTTATGACCTTCCAGCAGGAAAACAATATTTTAAAGCACACAGTCAAAACAAATAAATGGAAGGACTAGGCCTTTATAAAGGTCAAAAAATAACAAGCAGTTCTGGACTAATTGTTATCAGTGTGTTCAATGTGAGTGGTGGAGTATGGGGAAAGGAATCAATGAGGAGCAGTCTGGAAGAAGGTTCCAAAACAGATATGTAACAAGAGAGGATACGACTTAGACAGAGTGCACTGAATGAAATGTAAAGGGGGAATTAGGATATGAAAACTTGACCAGGCACGGTAGCTCATGGCTGTAATACCAATACTTTGGGAGGCTGAGGTGGGCAGATCACGAGGTCAAGAGCTTGAGACCAGCCTGGTCAACATGGTGAAAACCCATCCCTACTAAGAATACAAAAATTAGCTGGGCATGGTGGGAAATTAGCTGGGCGTGGTGGAAAATTAGCCGGGCATGGTGGCACATGCCTGTAATCCCAGCTACTCTGGAGGCTGAGGCAGGAGGCAGGAGAATTGCTTGAACCTGGGAGGTGGAGGTTGCAGTGAGCCGAGATCGCGCCACTATGCTCCAGCCTGTGTGACAGAGCAAGACTCCATCTCAAAAAAAAAAAAAAAAAAAAGATAAAAGATAAAAGAAAAAAAAAGAAAACGTTGGCTGTTTGCTTAGTATTTGAGTGTTTGAAGATACCATGCAGCAGCAAATACTGGGAGAAGAAAGAAAATTTTGTCTATAAAAAATATGCCCCAATAAACATACATGTGCATGTGTCTTTATAGCAGCATGATTTATATTCCTTTGGGTATATACCCAGTAATGGGATGGCTGGGTCAAATGGTATTTCTAGTTCTAGATCCCTGAGGAATCGCCACACTGTCTTCCACAATGGTTGAACTAGTTTACAGTCCCACCAACAGTGTAAAAGTGTTCCTATTTCTCCTCTCCAGCACCTGTTGTTTCCTGACTTTTTAATGATCGCCATTCTAACTGGTGTGAGATGATATCTCATTGTGGTTTGGATTTGCATCTCTCTGATGGCCAGTGACGATGAGCATTTTTTAATGAGTGCAGCACACCAACATGGCACATGTATACATATGTAACAAACCTGCACGTTGTGCACATGTACCCTAAAACTTAAAGTATAATAAAAAATATATATAAAAAATTAAAAAAAATGTGGAACAAGCTTTCCCTCTGTTATGTTAATGTACTGTGTATCAGCCACCTGTAAATAATGCTGGAGTCAGATTAAAGTACTGAAACCTATATGAGGTCTAGTAAAGAATTTTAACATGGAGGGATAAAAACGAGTCAGTAACTCACTGAAATTGAAAAATTAAGGCTTTAGAATCAGTTAACATGAAGTAGGATTCTAGCCGCCTCTAAGTTTTGTGAAATTTGGTAGCTCTATAAAATTTCTATGTTTAAATGTCTCCTGTAATACATGATTTTCTGTTTTATAATATGGTTAAATGAGCCATAAAGTAGTTGGTTCGATGAAAGAGTAAGTATTCAACAATTTTTTTTTTTACTTTTTTAAAATGATAAAAGGATAAGAAAAAGAAGTTTCTATGGAACACCATGGAAAGGCTTGTGGCTATGCTTCATTGATCATGACTACATGTAGTTTAATTATATAGCCAGAAGCTAGGAGTTAACACTTTAAAAACTTAGGTAAGTCCAGATTTCATGTCCGTCTATTTAACATTTCTTACTCCAAAGTAATTTTTGCAATAACAAGGAACTGAGATAGAAAGAAATGATAAATAAATCTCAAGTAGAAGATGAGATGAAGAAATTCTTTGTTTACTTTTTTATTTTTTTATTTTTATTTATTTGTTTTTTTGAGACAGAGTCTTGCTCTGTCGCCCAGGCTGGAGTGCAGTGGCGCGATTTTGGCTCACTGCAAGCTCCGCCTCCCAGGTTCACGCCATTCTCCTGCCTCAGCCTCCCGAGTAGCTGGGACTACAGGCACCCGCCACCACGCCTGGCTAATTTTTTTGTATTTTTAGTAGAGACGGGGTTTCACCGCGTTAGCCAGGATGGTCTCGATCTCTTGACCTCGTGATCCACCCACCTAGGCCTCCCAAAGTGCTGTGATTACAGGCGTGAGCCACTGCGCCTGTCCAGAAATTCTTAGTTTTAAAAAGAGAACTGGATATACACAAATACAAACACTGTTATTATTTAAATATTTAGGACTTCAACTGAGATTATTCTCTTGGTCTGTTAATTGAAGAACTAATCAATATTTTTTTCTGATAATATCTAAAACACATAGTTAACACACGGCCAGTCTTTGTAAAAGGAAAAATAACACATATGACAATTTTATGTCAGTTTAGAGATGCCAGCTAGAGTATTTTTGAAAAATAAGAGAAATCCTTTTCATCAAGCTACTCTCAGCTGTAAGTCCTAGAAATTTTATGAGAAAAATATTATTCTATAAAATAAGAAAACAATTTCACTCACATATGAGAATAAAAATAATAGTAATTTTGCACTGATCATTAAAAATGCAAACACTAAGAAAGATTTTATAAATATTTTAGAAAATTCTGAAATTCAGTTTCTAATTTCTTTCTAGTCTTTTTCAGAAGTATCTAATAATATAAACCTAGATAAATCATGTTCAAATTTTGAAATACAGATCTATAAACACAATTTCTATAAGTGATCAACAGCTTTTGCTAATCGAAAAACAAAATACATCATATTGCAGATGTTTTTCCTTTTTGACTAGGATCATCTATCAATGACCTGAAATAACTTAGAAAAACAAAGAAAAAAGAAACACATGCATTTGAAGTATTATTGGTTCTGAATTATTATTTTCATTCCTATTATTATTAAAGAACAATAGAAAATAGGTAAACATATGGTTCTAAAATTTTAGCGTGCATCAATATTAATAGTAATAAAAGCAACCATTAATAGTACAGCTAACATATTGAGGGTTCAGTTGGGGAAAAGAAATTTATTTGAATTACCTCTTATTTTGTACAGTAATCTTATGAGATTGTTCTACTATTATCTTAATTTTGACAAAGAGATTGTGATTCTGTCTCTTGGAACAGAGTTTCTGTCATCTGTATTTTTAATAAGATTCCCAGGTATTGATGCAAATCAAAGTTTAAATGATTTAAGTTCTGTAAAAATTTCTCAATCCATTTAGTAGGTTAAGGTTCTGGATATATTTGCCAAGATTCCCAGAAATAAGCTGATTATTTTTAGAGAGTAAAACATTTTAATCAGGAAACTCCAAAATCTTCCTGTGTCCAATGGACTGATATTTTCCTAGCTATTTAAGCAAAATTTATATATTTCAAATTATTTGATCTATGATATGCAATGCACCTTTTCTTTCCAATTAGAATTGGAAATGTTTAACTTTTATTCTGTAATTAAATCAAGTCACTATAACTAGGAAAACATAAATATTCACCTACACAAAATATTAAGTAATTAAAATTTATGAAGAAAGCAAGACTACACAAACGTGATATGTTAAAAGAACCAAATAAAATTCTGTTCCAACAGATTTAGGCTGTTCAAAAAGATAAGTCTTTCACTTTGATTTAAAGTTTAACAGGTCTCGTGTCTTGAATTACCAGAATGTGCACTATATAAACCCTTTAAATATGCAATATTTTCACCTGTCTTCTGCATTACATTCTTTCTAAGACCTTGGCATAGCAATTAAAATAAGAAACATATTTTTAAATAATGTTTGCACTTATAGTTTCCAAAACATTTCTTTTCTCCTCCCTTCTCGCTTATTTCTCTCTCTCTGACTCGTACAAAACCACAAGAGGAACTTGAAAGATACTTTAGTTGCTATTTCTGACCTTAATAATAAATGCAAAATGTAAGCTCATCAGTATAAAATAATTACATATATATGTTCTATATATTACATTGTAATAGAAAATAAAGATATATACCCATTTTGACTTGATTGTTTAGGCAGCCAGAATTTTTAAAACCATATATTAATTCAACCATCCATTCTTAGTTGATGTATTCAATGGTACTGTGCTCATTCTAACAATGGCTTCTAACATTCAAGTAATTTTTAGGAAACATTTTATCTTTTTCTTCAAATATCACAGCATGCCAAGTGGAGTTCTAAGTGTTACATCTAACAGAGAAAATTTTGCAATTGAAATTTGAAAATAAATATACATTCTCAAGAAATTTTCATCTTTTATTGCTACTTTAAAGTGCTATGGGAGTAAAATATAATACCACTGGACTTAAAGAAACCTTCAAGAAATCTTGTTGTAAACCTCAATTTAGAGATTAAAGAACTTGAGGTCATTATAAAACAAGTGAGCTTCAGTGATACTAACACTCCAACACTTAGGTCTCCTGTTACAACCCTGTTGGATTTATCCTAAACTGTGTGACTTTTTTTTATTCCTTTCTCTAAGGAATAAAATACACCCAATCTATTGCCTAGACAACCACAGTTACCTTTTAAAAGTTATCTCTGGTTTTATTCTTGTTATGTACAAAATGGATTTGAGGAGCCACTTAAATTTCAAATTTCAGAGAGAATATGTGGGTAATCTAGCTTAGGTCATAGACCTGTCCTTGATTTTAGACTGCAGCTACTAGATTGCTTCTAATGGATATGAGGTAATTAGTTAACATTTATTCACTTTCACTCTGTGTAATACACTGCTCTGACGGTTTACACATTTCAGTCCACTTAATTATTATAGCAAACGTGATATTGGTGCTGTTTTTATTCCATTAAAGAAAATTGTGATACTGACTAAAAATATTATTAATATAATAAATGCCCTCTCTTCCTTCATGAAGCAAGCATTCTTCTTAGGGATATATTCTTGTGAAAGGATTCTGAATTTAAAAGCTTTATCTATATTAAGACCATACCAATAAGATAAAATAATTATGATAATCTATAAGACTAAATAACTATGTCATAGGAGACTTATTCTGAAGGCCAGTACCATGTGAAATATATTATTAATTATGTAGAAAATGTTCATTACTTCACCCCAAAATACCTAGACAATTTGAATGTGAATAAATTCAGTCCTCACCTCTGCTTTAAGTGGGGAATTTATTTAATTTTATTTTTTTTTTAATTTAAAAAATTTTTTTTGAGGCAGAGTCTCACTCTGTCACCCAGGCTGGAGTGCAGTGGTGCGATCTCAGCTCACTGCAACCTCCGCCTCCCAGGTTCAAGCGATTCTCCTGACTCAGCCTCCTGAGTAGCTGTGATTACAGGTGCCCACCACTATGCCCAGCTAATTTTTTGTGTTTTTAGTAGAGATGGGGTTTCACCATGTTGTCCAGGCTGGTCTCGAACTCCTGACCTCATGATTCGCTTGCCTTGGCTTCCCAAAGTGCTGGGATACAGGCGTGAGCCACCACGCCCGGCCTAAGTGAGGAATTTTTAATAGAGGATTTTGAAATCATATTGTGGCACAAGGACATACAGCTAATTATGACGAAATGATTTTAAATGCTTTTCGTTTATTTGTTGGTTTTGGTTGGTTGCTTGGTTGGTTGGTTTTTATCTGTTGCAGAATCAGAAACTTTGGAAAAGCAATTTCTTAAAGAATATGAGTAAAAAAGTATCTGTATCTAAATAAAGAAAAAATGTTTAATTCAGGCACTGACAGTAGTTCAAAGGAGGCGTCAATACTTCAAATCAGCAATGAGAAGTTTCCAGTGTCTCTTCTGAAATACGCAAAGTGAGGAGCAGAGAATAACTTGCCATTATCTCTGGGTCATGGGTTTGGATATAAATGAGCAACCAGGCACTACTGTTAGTCATAATACAGCATCTGTTCTATGCTAGCAATTATCATTTTTTCAAATGAAATTTGATGGATGCTGTTAGCAGCTGATACGTCATTGGTATAATTTTACTTTTTATATACATGCCACACGTGATGAACTCTAGTTTAATTTGTATATTTTACTATTCTGTGAACACCATTACAAGCAAATCAAATTTCTCTGAACTGATAAAATATGGGTGTGTGTGTGTCTTATTTGATTCTATTACTCAAGTGGATTTAAAATTTTTATGATGACAAAACTAAATAAGGGGATTTCATCTTAAGTACATTGTGTCTATTGCAATAAGCCTGGAAGAGTGAAGAGAACTGTGACTCACTTAGAAGGCAGTAGAACACAGCTGAGAAATTCCCCCAAAGCTTGAATATTAAGAACTTGCTATATTTTATAGGTATTATTTCTAAATTAGTCGTTATTTTATGTAGGGACTTTTAAAATAAGACAAAACAAGGTTTTTTATTAATCTGGATTTACTGTTGGTGATTAGTAAAAAGTTTAAAGTTGCAATATATGCATTTTAAAGGATATGTCTATTGCAGGAGATTTTTACCATTATTTTTAAGTGATCCCAACATTTGTTCTTTTTACTGCTACTAGATAATTAGAAATAATGATTTACCTTTATGTTTTCTAATCAGATGATGATTTCTAATTACATGTGTATTTATGTTAAAATGTCATTTGAATATAGTCATTTTATCATTAATCCATGAATTTTGTTTTCTAATTAGTTTTTATGTATGCCTAAATAGATTGCTATAATTTTGTGTTATTAACTTGACAAGAATATTTCACTTTTTAAAGAACCCAGTACAGTTGGATAATACAATTGGTCTTCAGTGTTTTTAAAAAAATCACTATTAACAATGAGGAATATGCATTGTTTTCTGTTTTTGCTTATTTTCCACTCATTTCTCATACCTACGATTAGGCAAAATAACAAAATTTACAAAATTAACTTATTCATGACCTTATGTGAAAAACTAGTGAGTCAGCAGAAAGGGAAAAGAGGCTTGAACAGTTCTACATGCAGCCCTGCTTTGTTGTTGCGAAAAACTTGCCCACTTACTGTATAATCTTGAGCAAGTGCCTTAAGTTCCCTGACCCTCAGTTGCATTCTTGCTATAGTGAGTATTAGACTAGATAATGACCTGAAATTCTTGCAGCTTGATGATACTTTTTCTTTTCTGGGAAAGGTAATATAATGACAAAAAAATATAGCTGAAATTTGTTATAATTTTTATTGACTGGGTTTTGGGCTTTTTTAAAGAAAATACTGCATAGTTGACACTATGCAGAATAACTACATCTTAAATAATTCTTTAAAAAATAATATCTGCAGAAATTTAACAGTGGTAACTAATGTGATGTAGTCTGTTAGCAGTATATTTAAGTATGGCTATATTATAACTCTTCTGTCTCTTTCATAATTAACCAAATCAAACCAAACCAAACAAAACGTAAAACAAGATGGTGGAGAAGAGAAAAATAACATTTAAAAACAGAGAGAATATTGTTCGTTGGTATAAAACATTTAAAGTTGGCAGAATGACATAACATGTTCTCTGTGATCTATTAGAGATACCCACATGGAAAAGCAATCATTTCAAAGATGCAAACTTGGGGTATGGTAACTCAAGCCTGTAATCCTAGCACTTTGGAGGCCCAGGCAGGAGAGTTGCTTGAGCCCAGGAGTTCAAGACCAGACTGGGCATCATAGTGAGATCTCCCTTTCTCTCCAAAAAAAAAAATTAAATTAAATTAAAAATAGATTAGCTATTGTCGTGGTGTGCACCTGTGGTCCCAGCTACTAAGGAGGTTGAGGCTGCAATGAGCTGTGATTGTGCCACTGCGCTCCAGACTGGGCAACAAAGCAAGACCTTGTCTCAAAATAAATAAATAAAATAAAATAAAAAATGCAAATGTTTCATGAATTTCAGTGCAAATTTGATTTGTAGACGATAATTCTTTTTTTTTTTTAATTTTTTTTTTTTTTTGAGATGGTGTGTTGCTCTGTTGCTCAGGCTGGAGTGCAGTGGCACAATCTTGGCTCACTACAACCTCTGCCTCCTGGGTTCCAGCAATTCTCCTGCCTCAGCCTCCTGAATAGCTGGGACAACAGGTGCAGGCCACCACTCCTGGCTAATGTTTGTATTTTTAATAGATACGGGGTTTCACCATATTGGTCAGGCTGGTCTCGAACTCCTGACCTCAGGTGATCCACCCACCTCAGCCTCTCAAATTGCTGGGATTACAGGCATGAGCCACAGCGCCCAGTCGAGGATACTTCTTAAAGAAGTGAATTCTAAATTGTTTGTGTCTCTTCTTTCCCCCTGCCCCCTTCCTTTCCTTCTCCATTTCTCTATCCTGCCTCTCCCTCTTCCAAAAACAAAAACACAAGATCAAATTGAAGAATGTTTTAGTATCTATTTCAGCACATAAGATCTGATGGCGACACATAAAATCCGATGTAAAATGTAAGCAAAGAAATAGAAAATATTAATAAATTGTTTTTATCTCTTTTTTAAAGGTATTTTAAAATATTAGAAGCATATAAGCTAATAAAAAGTACTTCTGTTTTTGAATCTGTTGTTGGAAGTCTGAATTCATTGAGAAAAAGTGCATTGCTGGGCATTATCGTGATATATACCTATTTGTACATTCAGTTTCCTAAAGTAAAAGAAACAGGAAAGGAACATCTCTGAGTGATGCAACATCAGATACATAATAAAAATAAATGACTTTTCTGCAACTTTTAAAGGAAAACCAAAGTGATGAAATTCTTCTCTGAGCTAGTAAGCTTTAATAACACTTTCAGGGTTTCCTGAATTTGAAAGAAAGGCAGAATAAGGGCAGTTATGCCTTGTGAACCCTAATGTCATTACCATTTTAAAAACATAATCCCTAACTAAGACATTTGAAAAACTGCTGTTAAAATTTCTGTTTTGTCAGTTTTAACTTAAGCAGACAATACTTTGACATGTTAATCATAGTTTCCAATTTTAAAGGATGACTCATTAAATTTTAGTGTATATTATGAATAATAATTATATTACTCTGTAAATACTAGTGTATACTATATACATATTAGTGCTTAATTATTTTACAAGGATAAGAACATTTTCTTGGAGGCCATTTTCATATAACAACTTCTTTTCCTTTGGGTGGATACCCAGGAGTGGGATTACTGGATCAAATGGTACATCTACTTTTAGCTCTTTAAGGAATCTCCATATTGTTTTTCATAGTGGTTGTACTAATTTACATTTCCACCAGCAGTGTATATGTGTTCCTTTTCCCCTACATCCACAGCAGACATTTATTGTTTTTTAACTTTTTAATAATAGCTATTCTTACAAGAGTAAGGTAATATCTCATTGTGGTTTTAATTTGCCTTTCCCTAATGATTAGTGAGGTTGAGCATTTTTTCAGGTGTTTGTTGGCTACTTGTATGTCTTCATTTGAGTAATGCCTATTCATGTCCTTTACTCACTTTTTAATGGGATTGTTTGTTTTTTCCTTGCTGATTTATTTAAGTTCCCTATAGATTCTGGATACCAGTCCTTTGTTGCATGCATAATTTGCAAATATTTTCTCCCATTCTGTGGTTGTCTGTTTACTCTCCTGATTATTTCTTTTGCTGTGCAGAAGTTTTTAATTTTAATTAGGTCCCATATATTTATTTTTTCTTTATTTGCTTTTGGAATTTGTCACAAATTATTTGCCTAGGCTGATTTCTAAAAAAGTTTTTCCAATATTGTCTTCTAGAATTCTTATAGTTTCATTTCCACATTAAATATGATGTTAGCTGTAGGCGTGTAAGTATGATTGTTAGCTGTAGGTGTGTAACATTATGTGGTTTTTATTATTTTGAGGTAGGCCCTCTTTATGCATACTTTGTTGAGAGTTTTTACTATAAAGTGATTCTCAATTATGTGAAATGCTTTTTCTGCATCTGTTTAAATAATATGGTTTTTGTTTTTAATTCTGTTTATGGGATGTATCACATTTGTTGACATGTGTATGTTAAACCATCCCTACACCTCTGGGATAAAACCCACTTGATCATGATGGATTATCTTTTCAATGTGCTGTTGAATTCAGTTAGCTAGTATTTTATTGAGGATTGTTGCATCTATGCTCATCAGGAAAATTGGTCTGTAGGTTTTTTGTTTTTGTTGTTGTTGTTGTTGTTGTTGTTGTTGTTGTTGTTGTGCTCTGTCCTGGTTTTGGTATTGGGGTGATACTAACTTCACAGAATAATTTAGGGAGGATTTCCTCTTTCTCAATCTTTTGGAATAGTTTCAGTAAGATTGGTGCCGGTTATTCTTTGAATGTCTGGTAGAATTCAGCTGTGAATCCATCTTGTTCTTGGCGTTTTTTGGCAATTTTTAAATTGCTGATTCAATCTCACTGCTTGTTACTGATCTGTTCAAGGTTTCTATTTCTTCCTGATTTAATGTGGGAGAGTTGTATGTTTCTAGCAACTTATTCATTTTCTCTAGGTGTTCTAGTTTGTGAGTCTAAAGGTGTTCATAGGAGTCTCAAATCATCTTTGGTATTTCTGTGGTGTTGGTTGTAATGTCTCTAGTTTCATTTCTAATTGAGCTTATTTGGATCTTCTCATCTTCTCTCTTCTTGGTTAATCTAGCTAATGGACTATCAATTTTGTTCATTTTTTCAAAGAGCCAGCTTTGTTTCATCGATTTTTGTATTTTTTTTTATGTTTGCATTATATTTATTTCTGCTCTAATCATTGTTATTTATTTTCTTCTTCTAGCTTTAGGTTTAGTTTATTCTTGTTTCTCCCGTTCCTTGAGGTAAATATTAGGTTATCAATTTGTGCTCCTTCAGACTTTTTGATGTAGGTGTTTAGTACTATAAACTTTCCTCTTAGCCCTGCGTTTTTGTTGTATCCCAGAGGTTTCGATAACTTGTATTATTATTGTCATTCAATTCAACGGATTTTTTTAAATTTCCAGTTTGATTTTATTTTTAAGCCAGCTATCATTCAGGAGATTATTTAATTTCCATTTATTTGTATAGTTTTGAGAGTTCATTTTGGGGTTGATTTCTATTTTTATTCTGCAGTGATCTGAGAAGATACATGATAAGATTTTGATTTTTTAAAATTTATGGAGACTGATTTTGTGGCCTCTCATATTGTCTGTCTTGGAGTATGTTTCATGTGCTGATGAGAAGACTATATATTCTGCAGTTCTTTGGTAAAATGTTCTGTAAATATCTGTTAAGTTCATTTGTTCTAGCATGTCATTTGAATTCATTGATCCTCTGTTAACATTATGTCTCAAAGATCTGTCTAGTGAGTGTTGTCAGTGGTGTATTGAAGTCTCCCACTGTTTTTGTTTTGTTGTCTATCTTATTTCTTAGGTCTAGTAGTATTTTTTTTTATGAATCTGGAAGCTCCAGTGTTTGGTGCATATAAATTTAGGATTATAATATCTTTTTGTTGGATTGATCCTTTTATCATTATATAGTAGCCATCTTTTTTTTTCCTTTGCTTTTGTTTCTTTGAAGTCTATTTTGTCTGATATAAGAATAGCTACTTCTGCTCCATTTTGGTATCCATTTGCACAAAGTATCTTTTTCCATGCTCTTCCCTTGAGTTTATATAAATCCTCCCATGTTAGGTGAGTCTCTTCAAGACAGCAGGTATTTGGATTGGATTGTGATTGTGTACCAGTTCTACCATTCTGTATACATACATATGTATATGTATACATATGTGTGTGTGTGTATATATATATATATTTTTTTTAAATTATTATTACTATTTTTTTTTTGAGAGGGAGTCTCCCTCTGTCACCCAGGCTGGAGTGTAGTGGCACGATCTTGGCTCACTGCAACCTCTGCCTCCCAGGTTCAAGTGATTCTCCTACCTCAGCTTACTGAGTAGCTGGGATTACAGGCACGCTCCACCACACCTGGCTAATTTTTGTATTTTTAGTAGAAATGGGGTTTCACCATGTTAGCCAGGCTGGTCTCAATCTCCTGACCTGGTGATCCACCTGCCTTGGCTTCCCAAACTGTTGGGATTACAAGGCATAAGCCACTGTGCCCCGCCCATTCTGTATATTTTAAGTGGAGCATTTACCTCATTTACATTAAATGTTAATATTGAGATATGAGGTATTTTTCTCTTCATCATGTTAGTTGTTACCTAGATAGATTATTTTTCATTATGTTACTGTTATATAGGCTCTGTGAGCTTTAAGCTTTCAAGAGTTTCTATTTTGGTGGATTTTGGACTTTTGTTTCAAGGTTTAGAATTTCTCTTAGCATTTCTTGTAGTGCTACTTTGATAGTGACAAATTCCTTCAGCATCTGTTTGTCTGAAAATCACTTTATTTCTCTTACATTTATGAAATTTGTTTCTGCAGGATTCAAAATTCTTGGCTGACAGTTGTTCTCTTTATGGTTGTTGAAGTTAGGATCTCAATCCCTTCTAGCTTGTAAGGTTTCTGCTGAGAACTCTGCTGTTTGTTAGGTTTTCCTTTGGAATTTACCTGATGTTTTCGGCTTCTACTCTTGAAATTTATTTCTTTATGTTGACTTTAGATAGCCTGATAACTGTATGCCTTTTTTGAAGACGTTTTTGCAATGAATTTTCCAGGAATTCTTTGAACTTCTTGGATTTGGTTATCCAGATCTCTAGACAGGCCAGGAAAGATTTCCTCAATTATTTCCTTAAATAAGTTTTCCATAAATATTTTCTCTTCTCCCTAAGAAACAACAATTATTCTTAAGTTTGGCCATTTTACATAATCCCTTATTTCTTGGAGACTTTTTTAAAATTCTTTTTTCTTTATTTTTGTCTGATTGGGTTAATTAAAAAAACTTTGTCCTCAAGCTCTGAGATTCTTTCTTTTACTTGTTCTAATGTATTATTCAAGCTTTCCACTGTATTTAGTAATTCCTTAAGTGTATCTTTCATTTAGAGAACTCCTGATTGTTTTTTCTTGATTATATCAACTTCTCTAGAAAATTTTTTATTCATATCCTGAGCTTCTTTTAAAAATTTCCTTATACAGTTTCCATTTTTACCTTTCTCTGATATCTCTTTGAGTAGCTTAGTAATCAACTGTCTGAATTCCTTATCTGGTATTTCAAAGATTTTATCTTTGCTTGGATCCATTGCTGGAGAGCTAGTGTGATCTTTTGAGGGTGTTATTAGAGTCCTGTTTTGTCATATTACCAGAGTTAATTTTCTGGTTCCCTCTCATTTGAGTAGACTATTTCTTCTAATTATTATTGAACTTATGTATGATTTGCCTGTGTTTCTTTTTTTGTTGTTGTTTGCTTTGTATTTTTTTTTCCTTAAAGATGAGACACTAATATTAGTTTATAGTTAATTATAGCCTAATTCAGTACTTGGTGCTTTCAGGGATGAAGACTCTGTAAGAGTTCCTTGGTTATTGAGAGTCTTTGTATGATAGTTTTTTCATATGCTGGTTGTTGTAGAAATGTGTTCAGTGTGTAAATAAGTTCACTGTCTCTTATGGGGTTGGAATGGTAGAGGTCTCTTAAAGCTTATCTTGTTTCCCTGTGGCATGCACTTATTTATTTCTTTCTCTTCCCCCAGTATTTCATTTGCTGGCTTGATGTTTCATGCTTCAGGCTGGTAGGGAAGGTGTCCCCAACTGGTGTGAGATGGTATCTCACTGTGGTTTTGATTTGCATTTCTCTAATGACTAGTGATGATAAGCTTTTTTTCATATGTTTGTTGACCACATAAATGCCTTCTTTTGAGGAGTGTCTGTTCATAGCCTTCACCTACTTTTAATGGGGTTTTCTTTTTTCCTTTTAAATGTGTTTATGTTCCTTGTAGATTCTGGATATTAGACCTTTGACAGATGGATAGATTGCAAAAATATTCTCCCATTTTGTAGGTTGCCTGTTCACTCTGACGATAGTTCCTTTTTCTGTGCAGAAGATCTTTAGCTTAATTAGATCCCATTTATCAATTTTGGCTTTTGTTGCCATTGCTTTTGGTGTTTTAGTCATAAAGTCTTTGCCCATGCCTATGTCCTGAACGGTATTGCCTAGGTTTTCTTCTAGGGTTTTTATGGTTTTAGGATATACATTTAAGTCTTTAATCCACCTTGAGTTAATTTTTTTATAAGGTGTAGGGAAGGGGTCCAGTGTCAGTTTTCTGCATATGGTAGCCATTTTTCCCAGCACCATTTATTAAATAGGGAATCCTTTCACATTGCTTGTTTTTGTAAGGCTTGTCAAAGATCAGATGGCTGTGGATATGTGGTGTTATTTCTGAGGCCTCTCTTCTGTTCCATTGGTATATATGTCTGTTTTGGTACCAGTACCATGCTGTTTTGGTTACTGTAGCCTTGTAGTATAGTTTGAAGTCAGGTAGTGTGATGTCTCCAGCTTTGTTCTTTTTGCTTAGGTTTGTCTTGGCTATATGGGCTCTTTTTTTGGTCCCATATGCAATTTAAAGTAGTTTTTTCTAGTTCTGTGAAAACAGTCAATGGTAGCTTGATAGATATAACATTGAATCTATAAATTATTTTGGGCAGTCTGGCCATTTTCATGATATTGACTCTTCCTATCCATGAGCATGGAATGTTTTTCCATTTGTTTGTGTCCTCTTTTATTTCTTTGAGGAGTGGTTTGTAGTTCTCCTTGAATAGGTCCTTCAAGTGCTTTGTAATTTGTATACCAAGGTACTTTATTTTCTTTGTAGCAATTGTGAATGGGAGTTCACTCATGATTTGGCTCTCTATTATTGGTGTATAGGAATGCTTGTGATTTTTGAACATTGATTTTGTATCCTGAGACTTTGCTGAAGTTGCTTATCAACCTAAGGAATTTTTGGGCTGAGACAATGGGGTTTTTCAAATATACAATCATGTTATCTGCAAACAGAGAAAATTTGACTTCCTCTCTTCCTGACTGAATATCCTTTATTTCTTTCTCCTGCCTGATTGCCCTGGTCAGAACTTCCAATTCCATGTTAAATAGGAGTGGTGAGAGAGGGCATCCTTGTCTTGTGCCAGTTTTCAAAGGGATTGCTTCCAGCTTTGACCCATTCAGTATGATATTGGCTATGGTTTGTCATATATAGCTCTTAATATTTTGAGATATATTCTATCAATACCTAGTTCGTTGAGTGTTTTTAGCATGAAGGGCTGTTGAATTGTATCAAAGGCCTTTTCTTTATTTATTGAGATAATCATGTGGTTTTTGTCATTGGTTCTGTTTATGTGATGGATTACATTATTCAGTTTGCATATGTTGAACCAGCCTTGCACCCCAAGGATGAAGCCTACCTGATCGTGGTGAATAAGTTTTTTGATGTGCTGCTTGATTCATTTTGCCAGTATTTTATTGAGAATTTTTTGCATTGATATTCATTAAGGATATTGGCCTGACATTTTGTTGTTGTTGTGTCTCTGTCAGGTTTTGGTATCATGATGATGCTGGCCTCTTAAAACAAGTAAGGGGGGAGTCCGTCTTTTTCTATTGTTTGGAATAATTTTAGAAAGAATGATACCAGCTCCTCTTTGTATCCCTGGTAGAAATCGGCTGTGAATTCAACTGGTCTTGGGCATTTTCTTGGTTGGTAGGCTATTAATACTGTTCCAATTTCAGGCATGGAAACTGAACAACCTGCTCCTGTATGACTACTGGGTAAATAACAAAATTAAGGCAGAAATAAATATGTTCTTTGAAACCAATGAGAAGAAAGACACAATGTACCAGAATCTCTGGGACACAGCTAAAGCAGTGTTAAGAGGGAAACTTATAGCACTAAAGGCCCACGTCAGAAAGCAGGAAAGATCTGAAATCAACACCCTAATATCACAATTAAAAGAACTAGAGAAGCAAGGGCAAACAAATTCAAAAGCTAGCAGAAGACAAGAAATAACTAAGATCAGAGCAGAACTGAAGGAGATAGAGACAAGAAAACCCATCAAAAAATAAATGAATCCAGGAGCTGTTTTTTTGAAAAGCCTAACAAAATAGACTGCTAGCCAGACTAATAAAGAAGTAAAGAGAAAAGAATCAAATAGACACAGTAAAGAATGATAAAGGGGATATCACCACTGAGCCCAAGGGAAAAAAAATCAGATAATATTATAAACACCTCTATGCAAATAAACTATAAAATTTAGAAGAAATGCATAAATTCCTGGACACATACACCCTCCCAAGATTAAACCAGGAAGAAGCTGAATCCCTGAATACACCATGCATTTAAAAACTATATTGTTCTTATTGAATCCACTTGTCAGCTTTGTCAAAAATCAGTGTATCATACGTGTTAGTCTTGTTACTTTGTTCCACTAATCTGTATGTTTATTTTATACAAATATAAGTCTGTCTTTCTAACTACAGCAGTAAGGTAAATGTAAGTTATCTATTATCTTATTTTTCACAATTATTTTGCTTATTCTAATTCCCTGGCTTTTTAATATACATTTCAGAATCAAATTTCTTTTTAGAAAGCCTTCTGTTAGAATAGTAATTGAAATTGTCTTGAATCTATAGACCAGTACACATTTTATCATAACAATTGTAATGTCTTTGAGTCCATGACATGCTCGCATCTTCAGTATAATCACCATTAATTTTTTACAGTAATATTTTCAGTCTACAGGTTGCAAATTTCAGTTCAGTGTATAGTTTTTGAATATAATTTCTTAAATTTATCTTTAAATGTTTCATATCCTAATGATATATTACACAATTTTTTCCAAAATTAATGCCCAATTGGGTGTTGTCAGTGTAAATAAATATATTTACTTGTTAAATATAGTCCTGAAAACTCTTACTACTTCTAGTAAATTTTGAAAATGTCTAAAAATTTTTAACTTTTTTAAAAAAATAATTTATTTATTTATTTTGTGACTGAGTCTCGCTTTGTTGCCCAGGCTAGAGTGCAGTGGTTTGATCTCTGCTCACTGCAACCTCCACCTCCCAGGTTCAAACAATTCTTCTGCCTCAACCTCCCAAGTAGCTGGGATTACAGGCATGTACCACCACACCTGGCTAATTTTTGTTTATTTAGTAGAGATGGGGTTTCACCATGTTGGCCAGGCTGGTCTCAAACTCCTGACCTCAGGTAATCCACCCGCCTTGGCCTCCCAAAGTGCTGGGATTACAGGCGTGAGCCACAGCGCCTGGCCGATTTTCAACATTTTTATGAATTTTCTCTGCGTTATATAGGGTAGGGCATCCAATATTATATTAAATAGGAATGATGAGAAAAGACTCACTTGTCTTGTTCCAGATCTTAGGGAAAAATTACTTTAAACTTTCTCAGTGAATAGAATGTGAATCCTGATTAAGTGTAGATACTTTCTACCGGGTTGAGAAAATTGTTTATATTCCTAGTTTTCTGAGAGCCATTAAACCAAGTGAGTAAGAAATATTTTCAAATTTGTTTTCTGGGATCTATTGAGATGATCACATGATTTTTCATTTAAAAATAGTTTAATGTAACTGATTACATTGATTCACTTTATAATGTGGTATAAAAATTTTATTCCTAGGATAAACCATACTTGATTATTATATTGTCTCTTCATAAAATTGTATTAAAGATTTTATATCTGTGTTCTATAGGGATATGTATCTCCTGCTTTTGTCTCTTGGAATGTCTTCTTCTGGTTTTAGTGTCAGAGTAATGCTGATGTCTTTTTCTATGTTCTGTTAACATTCTGAACTATGTTCAGAATTTGTATTATTTCTTCTTTAACATTTTTCACAATTCACCAGTCAAGCCATCTGTGGCTACAATTTTCATTTGAGACTTTTTTGGATACAAATTTAATTTCTTATCTTAGATATAGGGCTATTCCAGTTATATATCTCTTCTTGATTGAGCTTTTGTAGTTTGTGACTATCAAGGAATTTGTCCATTTTGTTTAAGATGTTAGATTTACGATTTATTGTTTAAAGTTGTTTATACTATTTTTATTTAAGTCTTTAATGCATAGAGAACTACAATGATGTCCCATTTTCATTCCTAATAATTATAACCTATGCTTTTGTTCTGTTTTGTCTAATTTATCTAGCTAGAATTTTATCAGTTTTATTGGCTTTTTAAAAGTTTTTTGCTCCCTTGCCTATTTTGTATATATATATGTATATATACAAATATATATATACGTATATATACGTGTGTGTGTGTGTGTATATATATATATATATATATTTTTTTTTTTTTTTGAGACGGAGTTTCACTGTAGTTGCCCAGGCTGGAGTGCAATGACACGATCTCAGCTCACCAGAACCTCTGCTTCCCGAGTTCAAGCGATTCTCTTGGCTCAGCCTCCCAAGTAGCTGGGATTACAGGCATGCGCCACCACGCCTAGCTAATTTTTTGTATTTTTAGTAGAGACGGGGTTTCTCCACCTTGGTCAGGCTGATCTCGAACTCCCGACCTCAGGTGATCCGCCCTCCTAGGCCTCCCGAAGTGTTGGGATTACAGGCGTGAGCCACCATGCCAGGCTGATGTCTCTTCTTACTTCTATTATTTATTTATATCTGCTTACTTTTGATTTAAGTCATTGTTCTTGTTCTAGAATCTTATTTCCAGTCATATATTTACATAGTAGTAAAACTAGAATCCCCAACCTACAGGTGTTTTAGATAAGGCTCCACTGTAAGTTACGGCACCTTAGGAAGAAAATGGTTTGCTCTTTTCTGTATCTTTTGGATGGGTAAAACATTAAATATATCTGCTAAAAATTTTTTTATCTTATAAGAGTCATCTTTTTAAGTGTCTCCATCCTTTGTTCCTAGCCAACCTAGGTATATGAGCAACCTTGCTCTCTAAAAATGAAAGAGAATTTTAGGCCTGGTGCTGGAAAATTATTAATTGTCTAGCATTATATTCCTGTGGAAGTACTGCTTTAAAGGAAGTCCATACCCTCTGCATCTTTCCAAGCATTTACTAACAAGTTACCTATCTATTTAGTGTCCTCAACTGGTTTACAATTTTCTAATAATGGGTAAAAAACATGGTAAACAACATCAATTCTTTGTTTTCTAAGATAAATATAAAAGCATGAAATTAAAAAAACAATAAAATGAGATAAATTGGTTTTAAACATATTGTGCAGATTTTAAAGTATTTATACCTATAACTTCTAACTAAAATGTACATGTAGTCCTTAAAATTTCAAAATTACATCTAAGTCTAATTGTAGCATATATAGGTATAAACATTTAAAAGTATAAATAAAATAATTTAATTATAGTTATAGCCTGTGTGAGCTTTAGAACATGTGTAGATAAAAATCATTCTTTTCTCCAACAGGATATATTTATTAACTGAGTAGTAATGAAAGATTGATGTGTCAAAATAACATATAAAATAATGGTGTATGAAATTTATCTATTTAGCACTATACATGACCCTTAAATTATATTCATCATTATTGTAAGATTGCAGAAGTTATTTTCCTTTGTAAGCATTCTGCTTAAATACATAACTTCTTTAATATCTTATTACTACTTAGCTGCCACGCAAATGAATATGATAAGTATAATTTAAAACTTGTGTTTAATTGACATTCCATAAGCTAACGAATGTAGTGTTAAATTGATATTTTAATTTTACACCAACTTATGCTGGTGCTAGACAGACATACACTACTTTCAACACTGCCTTACTTCTCATTTCAATTGTAATGGCCCTGCTCCCCTCCCAACAAGAAGAAAATAAGTTCTGCAGGTAGTATTATAGTTATATTTGATTTAAAATGAGGTCTCTTCACACATGTACATATGTAGGACTATATAGAATTCGACTATAAATATGTACTATATTTTATTTATTTTGCCTGCAATTTTTGGTATACAGAATATTTCCATCTGTTTGCTATTATAAACCAGATACTACAGAGAAAATCCGTGTGCATTCATCAATTCATATATATGCTATAACAAAGTTGTTAAAAGATGGATCAAGTTATGTGTATTACAAATGTTGATATATTAATTAAACTGCTGTACATAAAGGTGGTATATATTTTCACTACTCTCAGAAATATGAGAGTACTTGTTCTCCTTATTGTCATGAACCATGCCTCATCAAATTGTCTGATTTTTGACAAGCTACTATGGGAAAACATGGTATCTAATTTTAGTTTTATTTCACAGTTCGTTTGTTATTAGGACCATTGAAAATTCTACAGAGTTTAGAAGATATTAATTCTGTTTACTGTGAACAGCTTATTCTTTTTCCATTCTTCTATTGTACTTAATTTTTTTATAAAAGTCTTCATATTTTAAGGAAGTTGAAGCTTTTTTCTGTAAACTTATTTTGCAGTTTTTTTCTTCCCAAGTTATCATTTGCATTTTATATCTTCTAAGGGTGAGTCTTTATCATATAATACATTTTGATTTTTTAAACATTTTCTTATTTTGTCTAATTGCATTGCATAGCAGCTATGAGTCAATTGTAAATTATGGTGATGCCAGTGGACTTCCTGATGATACTGGAAAAACTTCTCGCTTATTTTTTCTACTCTTATTTACAGTAAAACTGTCTTTGGGTTTTGGACGTATTTATGTATTTCATCTTAAGAAAGTATTCTTTCATGTCAGTGTATAATTATTATTAATCAAAAAGTCAAAGTATTTTTTGTATCTTCAGTTATTATTACATTATGTTTTTCTATTTAGATTTATTTATTTAGTAAATTACTTCAAATTTTATTAACATTGCTTTCATGGCACTTAACATGTCTTGTTTTATGATTTTAGAACAAATACATGGTATTTCTTCACTAAAATATAGACTTTGCTTGAAGGCAGACTTTGACCTCTGATTCATCTTTACATCTCCCTACAAGTAAATCAGCATTTTCTGCATATTGTTACTAAACAGTTATTTATTAAAGAAATGTGTAGGTATATAAATGATCTTTGAAGTACTGTATGGATTGAATAATTGCTACACAAAGCCAAAATAATTTCAATTTCAGAAATAGTTAAAAATGGCCTTAAAATATAGTGAATATGAGAGTTGAATTGTTATGAATAGAAATATGTAGTTCTTTGAATAGTATTTTGCACATAACAATGAATATAAAAATTAGAAGACATAGCCCAAATATTATTTTTCTTTTGTAATTATTTTTAGTTGTTATAGATACATAATGATTTTACATATTTGTAAGGTATACGTGACATTTTGATAGATGCAGTCAATG
Organism: Homo sapiens; assembly: GCF_000001405.40. Taxonomy (NCBI): domain Eukaryota; kingdom Metazoa; phylum Chordata; class Mammalia; order Primates; family Hominidae; genus Homo; species Homo sapiens. The sequence continues at coordinate 166,402,705 of NC_000003.12, forward strand.
TGTAATTATCAAATCTGGGTAATTGAAATATCCATCACATCAAACATTTCTTTCTTTGTGTTGGAAATATTTCAAATCTTCATTTCTAGCTATTAAAAATATATAATAAATTATTTTTGCCTGCAGTTTGTCCTATTGTGCGAATAACCATTAAACCTTATTCCTTCCATCTAACTATTTTTGTAACCATTAACCAATACCTCTTCATCCATCTCTCCCCACTTCTGTCTCCAGCCTCCGGTAACAACCATTCTATTCACTAACTCCATGAGATCAAGTTTTTTAGCTTCTGACACTCCCAGTGAGATGAACCTGGTACCTCAGTTGGAAATGCAGAAATCACCTGTCTTCTGCGTTGCTCACGCTGGGAGCTGTAGACTGGAGCTGTTCCTATTTGGCCATCTTGGCTCCATCTCTAAAATTTTAATTAGCATAGATGCAAAGATTGTTTCGCAAAATATTCAATAATAGAAAATTGATGTATTTTCTATTTAAAGGATAATAAAAGACAGCATAATGTCCCTGATTATAATAAAAGTAGCTAAGCATGTTTAATATTAATATATATAAATAATGTGCACACTCAGAAGCGAGATGAGATGAAAGAAAATCAATGTCAAATATCTGAAATGTATAGATTTTAAAATCTAAATTTTTCACATCATAGAAAATTGTTTAGATGTTGTTTTATTTAAAATTGGATATAAAGTAAAAAATATACGCAATACACAAAATAAATAAAATATTCTAATTTTTTCCAAGGGCAATAATTCCCTTTTCACTTTTTCTGAAACAAGACTTGATTTTTTGTTGAGGAAATCAGTTTAAAAAATACTATGAGACTAAATGGCAGAACCCCCAGTTTACTGTATAAATTATTTTGTCTAGATATTTGAACGAATTATTTTTCAAAGACAGTTTGACATTGTGAAACTGAAGTTGCACTTAAAATGTTTATCTTTTTAATATATTTCAGAATTTAGAAAATAATGAATGCAACAAAAGTCTTTGACATATTAAAAATAAAATTGAACATATAAATGAAGAATAAGCACTATGTTTCACTAGGGTTGTTTCCAATTTGCAAATTTTGTGTCACATAACCAAACAGCGTTTGAATACTTATACACATTATATTCTAATAATATAGGTTATTCTTTTACCAAGCAAATGTGATGTATTTAAGGAAGATCTCATAGATAAATATGTGCAAAAATATAAATATATGTATACATTTAAAGACAATTATTTTTACAGACATGTACATGCACATACATCTGATATACATCTCAAAGTGTGTATACATGTCTGTATTTATAGCAGGACAATATCAAAACTTCCGAGAAGCTAAGTGTAAACATCTTATAAAAGTAGCTGGAACACAATCAGGCACTGTTAAATAAAGTACCTGAAGATATAACAACTTCCAGCACATCTAGATCTGTAGTTCTGTGCATTTGATCAATAGCTTTCATCTGTTCTCCATTTGAAGAAATGTCATCAAAATCTTAATCTATTTCACCATGAGAGAAAGGATAAAGTATGAGTGAGATCTGAGAAAATAAAAGATCAGTGTTTGACAGTATTTTCAAATCTAATCAAAGTCAATGATATTTGGCATATTGTCTCCACTTTATTTTTTATTAACTCTAAGAGTAAAGAAGTGATAACTCAAAAAAAAATTGAGACTGCATTATATTTATTTTAAATAAAGAAATTACGTATCATCAAATGCTTCATAGCTTTTAGCTGATAAAAGTTTAAGGACTTTAGTGCAAGTTTTTCTGAAGATTCTAGTATATATGTCTGTACAAAGGTAACTTTGAATTAAGCTATAAACTAACATTGATTTAGTCCTTATTTTGCAGTACAAATGTTCTAGTCCTTTATCAAATGTATGCATACCTCAGAAATATTGCGGGTTTGGTTCCAGACCATGGCACTACAGTGAGTTACATAATTTTTGTTTGTTTATTTCTCAGTGAATATAAAAGTCATCTGTTAAGTGTAAAATAACATAATGTCTAAAAACTACATCTTAATTTAATAATACTTATTTGCTACAAACGTGCTAATAATTATTTAAGCCTCCCATGAGTTATAATCTTTCTGCTGGCCTTAATGTTGATGCTTGCTGGCTGATCAGGGTGTTGGTTGCTTAAGTTTGGGGCAGCTGTGGTAAGTAAAATAGCAATGAAGTTTGATGCATCGACTGGCTCTTCCTTTCGTGAAAGTTTTCTGTGTAGCATGCAGTGTTGTTTGATAGCATTTCACTTACAGTAGAACTACTTTTAAAGTTGGAGTGAATCCTCTCAAACTCTGCCACTGCTTAGTTAATTAAGTTGATGTAATATTGTAAATATTTGTTGTCAGTTTAACAATGTTCACACCATCTTCACCAGGAGATGAATATGAAACCACTTCTTTGCTCATCTGTAAGCATCTCAAGATACCACTTTCTCTGTTCACCCGTAAGGAACAACCCCTCAATTGTTAAAGTTTTATTATGAGATTCATACAATTTGGTCACATCTTCAGGCTCCACTTCTAATTATTTTTCTCTTGTTCTTTCCATGCCATTTACATCTATTTTCTAAAATCTTGAATCTTCAAAGTCATCCGTGAGGATTAGAATCAACTTCTTCAAACTCCTATAAATGTTGATATTTTGACTTTCTTCCATGAATCATGAACATTCTTAAAGGTATCTTGAATGGAGAATACTTTCCAAGAGTTATTTTTTAATTTACTTTGCCCAGTTCCATCAGAGAAATCACTGTCTATAGCAGCTATAGCCTTATAAAATGTATTTCTTAAATAATAAGACTTTAAAGTAAAAATGACTCCTTGATCTATGGTCTGCAGATTGGATGTTGTGTCAACAGGAATGAAAACAACATTAATATCCTTGTACACCTCCATGACAGCTCTTGGGTGATGAGGTACATTGTCACTGATGAGTAATAGTTTGAAAGTAATTATTTCTAAGTTCTAAGTTTCAACCTTGGGCTTAAAATATTCAGCAAACCATGCTGTAAACAGATGTGCTATCATCAGGTCTTTATTGTTCTATTTCTAGAGCACAGGCAGAATAGATTTAGCAGAATCCTTAAGGGCTCTAGGCAGAATACTAAATGAGCTATGGGTTCAACTTAAATTTACCAGCAGCATTAGTCCCTAACAAGAGAGTATACCTATCATTTGAAATTTTGATGTCAGACACTGGCTTCTTCTCTCTACCTATGTAAGCCCTAGATGACGTTTTCTAACATGAGAATGTTCTTTTTTTTTTCTACTTACAGAGTCTGTTGTTTAGTGTAGCCAACTCATGACTTATCTTACATAGATCTTTTGGGTAACTTGCTGCAGCTTCTAATCAGCATTTGCTACTTTGCCTTGCTATTTTGTGTTGTGGAGAGAGCTTCCTTCCTTAAGTCTCATGAATCAATCTCTGTTAGCTTCAAACTTTTTTTTTTTCTGCAGCTTCCTCATGTATTTCAAACTACATAGAATTAAAGAGAGTTGGGGCCTTGCTCTGAGTGAGGTTTGGCTTAAGGGAATGTTGTGGTCTGAGTGAAGTTTGGCTTAAGGGAATGTTGCTCTGAGTGAAGTTTGGCTTAAGGGAATGCTGTCATCTTCTACCCAGACCACTCAAATTTTCACCATAATGGAAATAAAGCTGTTTTGCTATTCTTGTATTCACTGGAGTAGCATTTTTAATTTTCCTCAAAAGTTTTTCTTTTGCCTTCACAGGTTGTCTAACTGGTACAAGAGGCCTAGCTTTCAGCCTATCTCAGCGCTCAACATGCCTTTCTCACTAAGCTTAATCATTTTTAGCTTTTGCTATAAAGTGAGAAAAGTGTGACTTTCACTGGAATACCTAAAGGCCATTGTACGGTTACTAACTGACCTAATTTCAGTATTGTTCTGTCTTAAGGAATAGGGAGGCCCTAGGAGAGGGAGAGAGATGGAGGAACGATTGGTTGGTGGATCAGTCAGAACACACACATTTATCCATTAAGTTCACCATCATATATGGGTACAGTTTGTAGTTCCCCAACACAATTACAAAAGTAACCCCAAACATCACTGATTGCAGACCACTGTAATCAAGTATAATAATAATGAAGATGTTTAAAATATTGCAAGAATTACCAATATGTGACACAGAGACTCAAAGTGAGCACATACTGTTGGGAAAAATGATACTGATAGTTTTACTTGACATGGGATTGCCACAAACCTTCAATTTGAAAAAGATCTCCAAAGTGTAATTTTGTAAAAGTTTGTAAAAATATTTGCGAAGTGTAAAATGTGGCAGATTAAGAGGAGATATGTCTGAAGCTGGAAAGTTAGGGTGCTGAGACAGAAACTTTAAAGTCAGATTGCCTGACGCCCAAGCTTTGGCCATTTTATTTGCACAATTCTAGGTCTTTACATTGTAGGCTCATTATATTGTTCATGCAAGTCTAGAGGAGAAAACTACAACAAAGTCTGAAGTACCAATGTTAAATTGATTATGATTATTTAAATGTTTTTTTATTCGTTTTTGTTTTTGCTGGTATTTCAATTAAATGTGATAGTAAAGGTAAATTAGTTTTCATTTTTACTTATTTTTAATATGTGAAAAATTATAAAAATTAACTTATGTTCCATGTAATCATTAACATACTAAAATAATATTTTAAAAGTAATCACCAATTCCTTTTTTTTTTCTCACCTTTGCGTCACCACACTCTCAATCTAAAGCTAAGCAAATAAAACTCCTGGTGTGTTCCAAACTGTTTTTCAACTTTTAGAATCAAGTTGTGAAGAAAGTATGGTTGATTTACTTTACAGGAGAGTAATTGAAGACATAACTGCTCAACTTGGGTAGAATTTTGCAGTGTTATCTTAAATTCATATAGTTTAACCGTCCACAAAGCTATTTTAGAAATTAAAGGCAGAATTATGTGATTGATTTCAACTATGATAAATTTATATCCATGTGGCAAAAAACTTGATATCACACACACACTCATAAATATTGCATTATATTTATACATTAAAGATACATTAAGTCTATATTTAATTTTGTTATAATTTAATAATGAGAATGCCGTGTCATATTTGCTTTCTCATTAAATCTACACAATATTTTATAAAATATAAAGAGGTGAGATGACTTGCCTGAGACCAGAAAGCTAGTAAGTGGCAGAATTGGAATAAAAGCCGAAGCTTTCACCTTCATTCTCCATTGCAATTTTATTCTCTTTCTCTTTTTCTTTCTGAAAACATTATCTAGGTTCTCTCTGAATATTCTTGAAAAAATATATGATTACTGCTTCTTATGTCAAGTATTTATTTTTCTAAATTTTTACTACTATATTTTTGGAGATACATGTGATAATGTTCTGATTAGTACAGCATCAGTGTTAAATCTACACAGCATGTTCAAAAATTACTTGAAAAATGTATATCATTAGCATTCTGTTATACAAATTATAAAATTTAATATTAATCAAGACAACATTATAATACTCATACCCAGGCTATTATTAATGTAATTTTTATTGTACATAACACAAGGATGCTTTATTAGCAATCTACAATTTAACGTTGCGTCTATTATTTTTAGAATCTATGACATACACATGCTATTTGAGTTATTAGAGCATCACATTATAAAAATAAAAGTATGGAGAAAATTACGCATTATATGTTTGAAAAAAATAATTATTGACCTACTACATTGTGATAAGATCCTTAAAAAGCAGTAATGAACACACAATGTTTATGAAGTAGACTTCTAAGAAAGATGGAAGTCATCTAGTGTGAAGGGCCATGGTTGTGCTCTGTGGGTTATTTACTCAGAACAAGGGAGAGAAGACTGAGTTGTTACTAACAGTAGTACTGTTGCTTTATTCTTTCTCTAAACATGATAATAATAAATATTTCAAGAATATGGTTTTGAAGAAGCTACCCATGCAATCCAGAATGATGCACTCTTGCTCCAAAATCTAGAGAACTTCACTGAGTCTCATCTGTCTAAGCTTTCCAGTAACCTGCCAAAGTATCATTATATATCATAGATACCTCTTGGACCACAGCCTGCACCTGCTGTAGAGCCTTCTCAAAACCAGCAACCTTCTGAGTCACCTGGAAAAGAGATGATATAAGTATGCCCAATGTTTTACATATTATCTCCAAAATTCAAAAGTAGCTGATCAAATATTTTGCCTCTTTTCCTTTGATGGAGGTTGAGATGAATTGTATCATCCTTTTTTTCCCCCAATGAGATGTCTCAACATGTGAAATATCACTGTACTCCTAATATTTCCCTGATGATAATAAGCCTTTTTAGAGTTTATCTTCCAGTCTCTGGTGTACATGTATTTTACCAGACTAACTAACATAGTTACCACTTGTCAAACATGTCTTATTAACATGATGTCATTAAGATAGTGCACCAGTAGATGTTCTGTCAATTATCAGTAAAAGTTTAAGTAAAATTTATTTGGACTATATAGTTACAGAGAGCAGAAGAGTTAACTCTGGCCTGGGACAAGACTAAAAACAATTACTACAGTCTGATGTGCTTTCCTGATGGGACTGAAATGAAGGCATTCACCAGATCAATAGCTGAGTATCAAGTGTGAGAAGCTGTGATGACATGTTCTGGAAAAGTCACCACATCATGTGAGGCAGTGCAAATTGTGGCTACAACTTCTTTTGAAGTTCAATTTAGTTCTTCTTCTGCCCTGATTCATCTTGTTTTTGAAGTTGTAATTCTGATTTTTTTAAAAGGGTATGATGGGCACCACCAGTGCTACATTTTTTAAGTCTGTATGAGTGGTTCTAATATTTGTCATTGTACCTTGGATATAACTGCTTCAGTTTTACTAATTAGGTCAAGGAAGGGAACTTTCAGTGACTTCCATTTGGCCTTTCCCCTAATAATCGATCCGTGGACTTCATATCAGTGTTCTGCTAATTGCTAAATATATCTACCTCAATTATGTACTCAGGGATATAAGAAATAGTCACAGGTGTGATATGTGAACTTATACTTGTAAAACAGCCTTGTACCAGGACCAAGTGCTTCTCACAGTGCTTCTACATGGTCCCACTGTAGGAGGGGAACTGTAATGGCATTTTGGGTCTCTTTATATGAACATCTCTGTAGACCCCATATACAATATCCCTTGAAAGATGTATTTCCCCATTATATGGGTACTCTGATAAATTGCCATAGATCTCTTTGAGAAACAGCTGCTGGTTATATTTGCTGTAACACTACAAAATGCTTCCTCAAAGGGACACAACATCTTTGAAATTATTTATGAATTTCACTTTCATTTTTTACTTCTAAATTATTTTAATGTATAAAGTGTATCACCTATTATTTAGTATATGGCTGCTCAGAATATGAAGTAAGTGGCCAACAGACTTATTATCTGGAAGAGTTGTTAGATCACTCAAATGTACTGAACTAGAAGTCTGTATTTTATCAAGATCCTCGGTATTACCTAAATACATTAAAATTTGTGATACTAAGATGGTATATATACACTGGCCAACTTGTATGAGTAATTAACATTTTCTTTTTATTTTATATATATATATATTTTTATTTTTCTTGAGACAAGTGCTCACTCTGTCACCCAGGCTGGAGTGCAGCCTTGGCCTCCATGGTTCAAGCTATACTCTGGCCTCAGCTCCCCAAGTAGCTGGGACTACATGCCTGCACCACCATGTCCAGCTAATTTTGTGTTGTCCAGGCTGGTCTCGAACTCCTTGCTCAAGTGATCCACCTACCTCAGCCTCCCAAATGCTGGGATTAAAGGCGTGAGCCACAGCACCTGGCCAGTAACAAACATTTTATGTTTTATCAGTTTTATTTATAAATCAAGTTATAAAATTGGTTGTAGACAAGAATGTTAAAAACTCTTATGTATTAAAAAAATCAAAAGATCACAGTTACTACATTAGCTCCTGAGTAACATGCTAATAATATATAGAAATTGTCATACTGGAATTTTAGTTCATAAATTATGGATTCATGCACTTACCACCTTTATATGAGTGTCTTTTAAACATCTCATAGAAACCAGCATTTCTGATGTACACATTCCTATGGGTTTTGTGCTGTAGCAATTTTGCTCACAAGGTGCTCTGTTAATATAATAATGTAATATGATATTACATATCATATGATTGTAATTAGAGAAATGCAATTATTGTTTTTCCTCTAAAAGTGCTTGAAAATAAAAGATTCTTGGCTGGGCGCGGTGGCTCACGTCTGTAATCCCAGCACTTTGGGAGGCCTAGGCGGGCGGATCATGAGGTCAGGAGATCGAGACCATCTTGGCTAACACGGTGAAACCCCGTCTCTACAAAAAAAAAAAAAAAAAATTAGCGGGGAGTGGTGGTGGGCGCCTGTAGTCCCAGCTACTCTGGAGGCTGAGGCAGGAGAATGGCGTGAACCTGGGAGGCGGAGCTTGCAGTGAGCCGAGATCGCGGCACTGCACTCCAGCCTGGGCTACAGAGCAAGACTCTGTCTCAAAAAAAAAAAAAAAAAAAAAAAAAGATTCTTTGCTTAGAAAATAATAGATGACGTACATTTTGAATCACAAAAACCAGCTTATCTGTTGTGTAAGATAGTATAGTATTTTTCTATTTGATGATATTGTAAATTACATAGGGATTCATTTAACCCTAGAATTCAATTAAACCAGAAAGTTTTTTTTTTTAATTATAAGGTAATTTTCATTTAGCAACATTCAAGCACATTTTTCAAATAAACTATTCAACATTTTTTGAGACTTTAGGTGTTGTGAACTGAAAGTTTCTTTATGGATGATTACTCTGAAAAAGATTTAACTCGAAAATAAGTGTGTATTATATACTAATATAAAATTATAGAATAAAGTAGTGGTACTCTCCCTGTTAAAACACTCTTAAGCTATATCACATATATTCAGGCAGATGTAAATGCAAACATATCCATATCTAGACATGCATATATAAGGAAACGTGATAGGTAGACAGATATAGATAGCTATATACAGACATAGATATGAAGATATAGATGACAGTTATAAATAATGCCTCCATATCACAATGTTTATTTGGTAATTATCATTGGAGCCATGAGTCAGTTGTGTTCATTTTACTCTTGGAGACACTGAGGCTTAAAGCAGGTGAACTACCTCCTAAGACCATATTTAGCTAGCAGCAAAGTCTGAAATCAGGTATTATAACTCTTTGCTGAAATATCTTCTGAGGTTTTCATTTTACTTAGCAACTTCCTGTTATGACTTTTCATAATGTCAGATTAAAACATTATTAAAAGCAGATTAACATCTAAAAAAAATTTTACATTTATTTTTCTTTTCTTTTTGTAGAGATGGGGTCTTGCTATGTTGTCCATGCTAGTCTCAAACTCCTGGGCTCAAGTGATTCTTCCACCTCAGGCTCTCAAAGTGCTGTGATTATAGGCATGAGATACCACACCTGGCTACTATTTTAAAAGTTTGAAAAAAATGAGGAGTTGCTACCAATAAAATACGTGCTTATTTTAAATTAAATAATCCAATATTGTTTGTAGTGTTCTTTGCTTTTAACGGCCCAGGGGATTCATTCTGCCACTTATTCTTCAAGGTAATTAAGGGTATCAATTGCACATGATATGTTACACTGCATTAGGATGAAGGTATAATCAATAAGTGGCCAGTTCATTCAGTATTTTGAAGACTTTGCAAAATGGAAGGTCATGCCTGATGAGAATACAATAGCAAAAGTGTCACCAAATGATTACCGTGATTTGACAGTAATTAGAGTATTATTTTTACATAGATGCAGTATTTAACGTGGTTACTATCTTATGTGAAATTTAATATTGAGCTCTTCTTGCCTGCAAATCTTATTGGCAACCTAACTCCTAAGTGAAATTTCAGCTCAGTATGTAGCTTTAAATGTCCATGTAGTACAGTTCTTTTTTTTGAGTTTAATAAATAAGTGAGTACATTTTTTCAAAGTGTCATTTGGTAAAACATAGCTAAATATGTATATAGTCAAATTTCTAATATTTTTTCAACAAATAATTGTGTTTCTGAGCAGAGCGCCGAATTCAGTACAGTGGTGTCAGGGAGACAGTACAAAGACCTATAAGTTAAGAAAAGCAATAATAGTAATAAAATAAATATTATAATTTAATTGTTCTGACAAGTCTTTCCTCTGGGCATTATATCCCCAATTTTACAACTGTGCAAAGTGAGACAAAGAAAAGTTAAATTGCCTGCTTAAAGTCACATAACTATATGAGTGTTCATGATTTGATCTCAGGTTTATTTACAAGAAAACTACTTGCATTTATGTCAAATTTGAAAACAACTGGTCCTTCTGTCAAAGGGCTCATTATTAATGTACAGATACCCAGAAGCACAAAATTAGCAAAATGACTAAGCAGACGATCTTGAAAATACACAAGTTTAAACAAAATGATAAGAGGGCTCTGTAGAGTTGGCGTTTAAATCTGACTTTAGCAAATATGGAATGATTCTCAGATAGGGTAACATTTGACCCTGAACTTAGATGTTGAATTTTGATGGACAAAAAGGTGTTAGGCATGTCAGCAATATTGATGACTGGGAGTAAAGACAATGATGCATACTAGATCCTAGCGTGCCCAGGTAAAAGCAAGCAGTTTGGTACCAAAGAAACATAAAAAACAGAGAATAACAGAAAAGGAGAGAACAGTAGCTGAAAATGAGATTTTATAAAGTTATATTTAAAAAACCTTATGAAGATACTTACTTGCCATGCCAAGGAATTTTAATTTTTTTAAGTAACAAAAAAATAGAAAAAATAGAGAGAGCAATATAGTAATGTTCTAGGGTGAAATGGCATGGAGAGAGATGAAGTCAAGGGTATCATTTGGGAGGATATCATAAGAACTTAACTGCAGTCACATACATTCCTCTTCTTGTCCATATAACTAGTGAGTTTAGTGTGCATCCAGAGTCATTCTCTGAACTGATTGATAATATTAATTATGATGATTACATGCATTTAGATATCACTTTTTGGCCCAAATTTGTTCATATGTCACCATATTCAGTCCTAGGAATAGGAGAAATGAGAAAAATGGTGCAGGTATTCCATCAGCAATTTGGAGATACAGAATTTTTAATAGAAAAATTAATGTAACTGCTTAGAGTCATACAAGTAAATAACTGAAGAAAACAAAGTGAAATAAGTCAGGTACAGAAAAGCAAACTGCACATGTTCTCACTCATTTATGGAAGCTAAAAATTAAAATAATTGAACTTCCAACCCTTTTCATTATAGCTTACAGCAAGTTCTAAGTAATAAATGCAAAATATAACATATTTTAATATTCATTTATATATTTCAATATTTAAATTGGATATCTATTTTTGAAACATCGAATAGATTAACACTTTATATGTATTTGCTTTTTCAAATATAGAACACCATATTAAAAATTAATTCAACAAATATTTATTGAGTACCTGTTAGCATGAACTAGTCACTGATGAGGAAAGAAGAGTAATGAAAACTAAAGCCTAGTAATGAAGGTAGAAATTAATCTAATAATAAGCAGAAATAGTCATTTCTCTTCTCTTCATTACTTATTTTTTAATTACAGAAATTTTTATTCATAATTTATATGCTTAAGTTTATAATGCAATGGAATATATTTAGACAAATGTAATTGTTTTAAACTTATAAGCTACTGAAAACCTTGTCATAACTATGTGTCCAGTTCTTATAATTTTTTGATGCAGTCTGGCAGCAAGTCTTTTGAAATATACTTCAAAAGCTTTGAAATCAGAGTTTTACTGGGAAGTAAATATGGCATATAAAAGTACAAGAAGATGAAGGATTTATAGCTCAGCTTCCCCACATAACCTCACAAAAGAAAATCCAGGAGATTTTTCTGTCAAAGAGAATAGATGGGGTTCAATCATGATAAGGCTTTAAAAAGTATCTCTAGACACCTCTAGATCAAAATGACACATGTCTAAGCATCCACCAATGTATGGTCTCCACATTTTTTATGCATAGATATATGGAAAGATGAAAACTCTCAGCAATTTGAAGAAAGAAAGACTGGCACAAAGAAAATCGACAACATGGTGGGAAATATCTCATTAACAATAAAGCGTCTGGATGTGGATTATGAAAAACCTAGCTAGACTTTATAGCACATGCCAAAATCTTTCATGGGGAGGCACCAAGAAATAATTTAAAAGTGGCTTCATTTCTATATTATTCACTCATAATTTGCTGACCCAGGAACTCGGAGCGTGAACTGCTCAGAAAAGATGGCAGAAATTTGTTTCCTCACTTAGGGAATTGATTTGTGAGTTATGCACCCCTTCTTCAAACTCTAAATCTACACATTCTCCATATTCACAGTATATTTTAAAAGTTAGAGTAGATTTAGGTATCAAAAGCTATACGCTTAATTTAGAGACTGACTGATGGTACTATTGCACACTTGAAGAAGTCTATGCAGATATATAAGAGAGGACAATTATAATTATCTGTGTACTGTAATAGATTTAAGAACATAAAAGCCAGGTCAAAAAACAAATCAAAAAGATTAAAGTGTGAAAATAAAGGAATTGTACTAGAAACTCAACCTTGTTTGAGTTTATCTCTAGCTAGAAAATTTTAAATGAAGCGAAAAAGTCCTGAAAAGACTGAAAGAGGCGAAAGGTACTTCATTTTGGAAAATCTTTGTAGTCTTTTTTTTTTCTAATATAAAGAATATGTGTCTTCAGTGTATCACAAGGAGAACATTGGCTAATATTAAAAAGCAGAAAAATTTTTTATCAAGTATTCAAAATAAGAAATAAGAAAAAATATCATGGAAATGACAAATCTATTTAAATCTGTACTAAAAACTGTAAAGAGCAGAATTGATCAAGTCAACACAAACAAATACCTAAAAACAAAACTAAAAAAATCCCAAAAATGCAATAAATGAGTAGAACAATTTGTATGCCTTTGAATAAGTTTGAAGAAGAGCTCTTAAAATGAAGAAGAAAGGTCAAAGTGGTTAACATTACGAGAGGCAAGATTATCAGTATAGATTATTGATAACAAGAATCAAATATGTGAGTCTTGAAGATTATACCAGATTATAATACACAGGAATTAAAATAGTTATATATAGAAGAGATTCATAGAAAGCCAAGCTAAAACAACAATAATTTAACAAGAAAATTTAGTTTTAAATGAAAATTGCCAGCTACAGTAAACAAACAGGTAAGTGTGTGCTATGTTCAGGGGGCAAATACTGTCAAAAGAAACAACTTCAACAAAACTTAGATTTTGGGTTTAGCATTAAAACCTTGACAGGGTCTACTATAAATGTGTTATCACGACACAAGAATGATTCAAGAAAATGAAATAAGGGACGTACTGATTTGAAAGAAATGATTAAAAATAAAAATATTTACTTGCAAAATATATTAGTGTGCATAAGGGAAATACTAAGAAAATTTAAGAAATGCTACTAGAACTAATTAAGTGGATTTAATAAGTTTGTAAGGTAGAAGATTAATTTTAAAAAATTAATTTATTTCATATATAACAATAAACAATTTAAACTTAATTTTAAAATATCTATCTACAATATCATAAAAAACTTGTGAAATATTTTATCAAAATATATGTAAGTCCTATATACTGAAACTATAAAACATTACTGAGAAAAATTAAAGAAGACCTAATCAAATGGAAAGCAGTATCATGTTCATGTTTTGGAAAACTGGATATTGTTAAGATGATAATTTTTGCCAGAGTGATCTATAGATTTAATGTTATCCCAAACAAAATTCCAGCTGTGTTCTAAATAGAACCTGACCTGCATATTCTGAAATTTATGTACACATACAAATGGCCAAAAAGAGTCAATATTACATTTAATTTTTTAAAAACAATATTGGATGATAGCAGTACACTAATGCAATACTACAAAGCTACAGTAATCTTGAGAGTATGATAATTACCTAAGCATAAACATATAAGTTGTGTACCAAAAAGTATCTGAGACAGGCCCCAATAAATTTAGAAAGTTTATTTTGTCAAGGTTAAGGATGCATCCATGACATAGCCTCAGGAGGTTCTGATGACAGGTGCCCAAGGTGATCGGGGTAAAGCTTGGTTTTATACATTTTATAGAGACATGAGACATCAATCAATATGTGTAAGATGTACATTGCTTCTTTCCGGAAAGGTGGAATAACTTGAAGGAGGGGTAAGGGAGAGGAGCTTCCTGGTCATAGATAGCTAAGAGACAAAGAGTTGCATTATTTTGAGTCTTAGATCAGGCTTTAACTAAATACACAATTTCCACATGATTCTGGGGTAAAGGAATAATCACTTTTGCCTTAGACTGGTTCAGTGAATCTCCATTTTCACATAAACAATAGGACAGAGGAAGCAATAAGATACGCGTTTGTCTCTGGTGAACAGGGGGATGACTGAATTCTGTCCTTTGTCCTGAACCTGTGAAGACAAGCTATCAACATACATTGCCAAGGTGAAATTCAACAGAAATGTTTTAGGATAGAGATCTTGTAGCCGGCAAAGAAATTCCTGTAGGCAAATTGTGAGGGAAGTATGCAGCTTTTTTATCTTTGTAGGTATCTTATTAGAAATAAAATGGGAGCAGATTTGCCTGATTCAGTTCCCAGTTTGTTTTTTCCCTTTGGCTTAGTGATTAGGGGGTCCCAAGATTTATTTTCCTTTCACAACTTCAATAAAATATAAACGAGCTTCCATATGCTGACCCACATGTATATATGGTTTCAATTCATGGCTATTAAACTGCTAAGGTAATTCACTGGGAAAAGTTAAGTCTTTCCAGCAAATGATGTTGAAATACAAGATACCAATCTAGGAAAAAAAAATCCTTCACTCCTACAGTGTCATATCTAATCACAAATTGATAGTGGATTTGCATATTAGAGCTAAAATCAAGAAACTCCTAAAAAAAAACTTTGAAAAAAATATGTGTGACTTAGAGTTAGCAAAAATTTCTTTGATAGAATTGATAGGACACAAAACAAACAAAACTTAAAGGAAAATATAAACATCAAATTTTTTTGCTCATCCAATAACACCATTAAGAAAATGAAGAGAATGCCCAGTTTCAAAGAAATATTTTTAAGTCATATATCTGATATAAAAATCTACTCAAAATATATAAAGAACTCCCACAATGCAGTAAGACAAATAATACAATTTTAAATGAGCAATTTGAATAGGTATTTTACAAAACAAGATATACGAATGCTAATATGCTTCTAAGATATTGTAAACACTGCCTCCATTAGGTAAATACAACTTAACAACACAGTAAGAAACCACTACAAATCTACTGCCTGCTAAAATTGTAAAAGATTGACAACTTCAAGAATTAATGAGAATGTAAAGCAACTGAAACCTTCATACATTGAAAATTAATGCAGTCACTATAAACATAAAACGATTTTTGAATATATTAAAAGATTAAGGCTCATCAAATGACCCTTGGATTTTACTCCTACATATCTACCTAAGGGAAATGAAAACTATATCCACACTAAGACTTGTATGCAAATGTATATAGTTTCTCCATTTCTTTCTCTCTCTCTCTGTCTCTCATTCTCTGTCTCTCTGCTTCATCCTGGACAACACGACTACTTGTAATACCTAAGTACATACTTCCTCTGATTTAACAATCATAATTTTTTTTAATCTTCAACATTTATTATAAGCTCAAGTGTATATGTGCAGGATGTGCAGGTTTGATACATAGGTAAACATGTGCCACGGTGGTTTGCTGCACAGATCATCCCATCGCCTAGGTATTACAGCAAGCATCCATTAGCTATTCTTCCTGATCCTCTCCCTCCTCCCAGCCCTGCCCCAGCAGGCCCCAGTGTGTGTGGTTCACCCTCATCTGTCCATGTGTTCTCATCTTTCCGCTCCTACTTGTAAGTCAGAACATACAGTATTTGGTTTTCTGCTCCTGTGTTAGTTTGCTGAGGATAATGGCTTCCATCTCCAACTATGTCCCTGCAAAGGACATGATCTTCTTCGTTTTTATGGCTTCTTAGTATTCCATGATGTATATTTACCACATTTTCTTTTATCCAGTCTATCATTGATGAGCATTTAGGTTGATATCATGTCTTTCCTGATGTGAATAAAGCTTCAATAAACATATGGATGCATATATCTTTATAATAGAATATAATATTCCTTTGGGTATATACCCAGTAATGGGCTTACTGGGTCAAATGGTATTTCTGGTTTTAGATCGTTGAGGAATTGCCACACTGTCTTCCACAATGTTTGAACTAATTTACACTCCTACCAACAGTGTAAAAGCATCCCTTTTTCTCCAAAGCCTCAACAGCATCTGTTGTTTCTCAACTTTTTAATAATTGCCATTCTGACTGGCATGATATGCTATCTCATTGTGGTTTTGATTTGCATTTCTCTAACGATCTGTGATGTTGAGCTTTGTTTCATATGTTTATTGGCTTCATAAATGTCTTCTTTTGAGGTGTGTCTGTTTATGTACTTTGCCCACTTTTTAATGGGGTTGTTTTTCCTTGTAAATTTATTTAAGTTCCTTGTAGACTCGGGGTATTAAACCTTTGTCAGATGGATAGATTGCAACATTTTTCTCTGATTCTGTGGGATGTCAGTTCACTCTGATAATAATTTCTTTTCTTGTGCAGAAGCTCATTTAATTACATCCCATTTGTCAATTTTTGCTTTTGTTGCAATCAATTTTGGCTTTTTTTGTCATGAAATCTTTGCCTGTGCCTATGTCCTGAATGGTATTGCCTAGATTTTCTTATGGGGATTTTGTAGTTTGGGGTTTTACATTTAAATATTTACTTCATCTTGAGTTCATTTTTGTATAAGGTGTAAAGAATGGGTACAGTTTTAATTTTCTACATATGGGTAACCAGTTCTCTCAGCACCATTTATTATACAGGATATCCTTTCCCCATTGCTTGTTTTTGTCAGGTTTTTGGAAGATCAGATGATTGTGGAAGTGCAGTGTTATTTCTGCATTTCTTATTCAATTCCATTGGCCTACATGTTTGTTCTTGTACCAGTACCATGCTGTTTTGGTTACTGTAGCCTTGTAGTATAGTTTGGAGTTGGATAACATGATGCCTTCAGCTCCGGCTTTGTTCTTTTTGTTTAGGACTCTCTTGGATATTCAAGCTCCTTTTTGGTTCCATGTAAATTTTAAAATAGTTTTTTTTTTATAATTCTGTGAAGATTGTCAATGGTAGTTTAATGAGAATAGCATTGAATTATAAATTACTTTAGGCAGTACGACATTTTAACAATACTGATTCTTCCTATTTTTGAGCGTGGGCTTTTTAAAAATTTGTTTGTGTCTTCTCTGATTTTCTTGAGCAGTGATTTGTAATTTCCTTGAAAAAGTACTTCACTTCCCTTGTTAGCTGTATTCCTAGGAATCTTACTCTTTTTGTAACAATTGTGAATGAGAGTTCATTCATGATTTGGCTCTCTGCTTGCCTGTTGTTAGTGTATAGGAATGCTAGTTATTTCTGCACATACATTTTTATATCTTGAGACTTTGCTGAAGTTGCTTATGAGCTTTAGAAGCTTTGGGGCTGAAATGATGGAATTTTCTAGACATAGAATCGTGACATATTTAAATAAAGTTAACTTGACTTCCTCTCTATTTGAATACATTTTTTTCTCTTGCCTAATTCCCTCACTAGAAATTCCAATATTATGTTGAATAAGAGTAGTGAGAGAGATCATCCTTGTTTGTGCTGGTTTTCAAGGGGGAATGCTTCCAGCTTTTGCCCATTCAGTATGTTATTGGTTTTGGGTTTGTCATATACAGCTCTTATTATTCGGAGTTATATTCCTTCAATAACTAGTTTATTGAGAGTTTTTAACATGAAGAGTTGTTTAATTTTATCAAAGGCCTTTTCTACATCTCTTGAAATAATCATGTGGTTTTCATCTTTATTTGTGTTTATGTGATGAATCACATTTATTGATTTGTGTATGTTAAACCAATCTTGCATCCCAGGGATGAAGCCAACTTGATCATGGCGTATAAGCTTTTTGGTGTGCTTTTGGACTTAGATCTCCAATATTTTATTGAGAATTTTTGCATTTATGTTCATCACGCATATTGCCCTGAAGTTTTCTTCTTTTGTTTTATATCTGCCAGGTTTTTATAGCAGAATGATGCTGGATTCATAAAGGAATTAAGGAAAAAATTTCAATTTTTTGGAATAATTTTTGTAAAAATTGTATCAGCTCTTCTTTGTACCTCTGGTATAATTCATTTGTAAACCTGTCTGGTCCTGGGCTATTTTTGCTTGGTAGACTATTTGTTACTGCCTTGATTTTAGAAAATTTTATTAGTCTATTCAGTGATACAATTCCTTCCTGTTTCAGTCTTGGGAGGGTGTATGTGTCCAGGACTTTATTCATTTATTCTAGATTTTCTAGTTTATGTGCATATGGATATTTATAGTATTCTCTGATGGTTGTTTGTATTTCTGTGAGGTCAGTGGTGAAATTCCCTTTATCATTTCTGAGCATGTTTGATTCTTCTCTCCTTTCTTCTTTGTTAGTCTAGCTAGTGGTGTAACTATTTTATTAATTTTTTTTTTCAAAAATATAAAACAGCTCCTGGATTTTTTAAGTTTTGAAGAGTTTTTGTGTGTCTCTATCTTCTTCAGTTCCACTCTGATTTTGGTTATTTCTGGTCTTCTGGTAGCTTTAGGGTTTGTTTGCTCTTGGTTTTCTAGTTCTTTTAGTTGTGACGTTAGGCTGTTAATTTGAGATCATCTTAGCTTTTTGATGTGGACATTTAGGGCTATACATTTTCCTCTTAATACTGCTGAGCTGCACCCCAGAGATTCTGTTATGTTATCTCTTTGTTCTCATTGGTTTCAAGGAATTTCTTGATTTCTGCCTTAATTTCAGTATTAACCAAGGAGTCATTCAGGAGCAGTTTGTTCAATTTCCATGTAGTTGTGTAGTTTTGAGTGAATTTTTAAGATCTTGAGTTCTAATTTGATTGTGCTGTGGTCTTAGAGATTGTTTGCTATCATTTCAGTTCTTTTGCATTTGCTGAAGAGTGTTTTACTTCTGATTGTGTGACCAATTTCTGAGTGTCATGTGGTGATTAGAAGAATGTATATTCTGTTGTTTGTGGGGTGGAGAGTTTTGTGGATATCTATCAGGTCCACTTGATTCAGAGCTGAGTTCAGGTCCTAAATATCCTTGTTAGTCTTCTGTTTTGATGATCTGTGTAATTTAAATATTTAGCTTGGCTATGAATCTAAAATAAGATATATAAATGTATCAGCAACTTTTTTTAGGATGTCAAATAAAAGATTATTTCTATAAACATCTTCGGCGTTCATCTCTTTTGTTTTATTGTCTCTTTATTGAGATCACTCTCTCTCTCACTCTGATTTTTAGATTTTTTTCACTTAAATTTTGTAATCAATATCATAAATTTCTTTAAATTCTATCTTGTTTGCAGATGACTTTTCTGATAAAGATAATTGATTTTCTCACATTTTCATTTCCTTTAAATAGATTTGGAAGCTTCTATCACACTGGGATAGGCTATTCTGCATCCTTTATTTTAAGAAGTTTTAGGCAAATATATGTCAAGCCAGAAAATATTCAAATGGGACTTTATTACCTGTACCATATCTGCCCTAATTCAATTAATTTTTCTTCTCTTTCTACATGTGCCATCTCTGGTCCTTACAATCTTTTCTATTGGCCAAATTGCGATGAAACAATTATTATTTTTCACCTACTATCTGCATCATCTATTTGCTGATGTTTTGGGAAGTTGCTGCAGCTCTTAATGCCATTTAATTTTTGGAATTCATATCTATATCTATAAATACATTTTCACAGCAGAACATTTTTTCCTCAATGTGTCATATTATCAACTGTAGGCTAATCCTCTGTATTATTCTAATCATTCATTCAACAAATATTTATGGAATACATAGTATGTGCAAGCATAGACCAGTGTTGGTGACAGTACCATAAACTGAACCCATATTTCTGTCCTCATTAAGTTATGATCTAGTAAAGCTGGTGGTAGGGGCAAGAGGTAATGCAGAATAAATAAATAAAATGTACAGTCTATTAGAAGGTGGTAAGTTATAAAAAAATTAAAAATAAATTTAAAATAATAAAAAATAAAAACATAATTGACCAGAAACTACATATTGAGAGTGAGTGAGATAGAATGTGAGTAGACTTTGAATTTTAAATAAAATGTTAATGAAAAAATAAAAACGTAAGTAAAGCTCCGAAGGAGGTGATAAATCAAACCCTGGATCTAGCTAAGGGTAAACTACCCAGGCAGAAGTAGCATAAGCAAAAGCCCTACAACAGGAATGTACTCAAAATGTTTAAGGTACAGCAAAAAGCCAGTGGATAAGGAGCAGAGTGAGTGAAGGAAAGAAAGGTAGTAGATGATGTCAGAGAGGTAACTGGGAGCCTCATCATGTGGAGCCTGTGTGGCCATTGTACATACTCTGGATTGTATTTTAGTTAAGTTAGAAGCCACCAGAGCATATTAAGCAGAAGAATAATCTTTAGTGTCTTCTGTTGGAATAATCTCAAACTCCAAATTTCTCTCTACTTTCATATTAATAAACTATTATTTTTCCTTCAACGCTTTGCACTAGATTTTTAAAAACTCATCCCAAATCAAACTTTTCTAACAAAATACAACAACAACAAAAATGCATGGTACTACCGGATCCTTTCTCACTTTTGAATGTGCAGCCAACACCACTAATCAAGTACAGTACAATAGCATGTCTTGTTGAGCCTGATAAAGCTTTTGAATCTTTTCCATATCAATTCTTCAAGTAACCACTAACAATCAGTTGAAGTTAGAACCCAAAATGAAGCCTGTTAGCCCACGTTACAAAAGCTGTTTTGCCATCGCATGCCACCATTCCACTCTGGATTATGGAACTTGTCACTCTATCTATACTAGAAATTTCGGGATTTTTTGCTTCCTATTGAGAGGTGACAGCGTGCTGGCAGTCCTCACAGCCCTTGCTCACTCTCGGCACCTCCTTTGCCTGGGCTCCCACTTTGGTGGCACTTGAGGAGCCCTTCAGCCTGCTGCTGCACTGTGGGAGCCCCTTTCTGGGCTGGCCAAGGCGGGAGCCGGCTCTCTCAGCTTGCAGCGGGGTGTGGAGGGAGAGGCGCCAGCGGGAACCGGGGCTGCGCGGTGCTTGCGGACCAGCGTGAGTTCTGGGTGGGCATGGGCTCAGCAGACCCCGCGCTCAGAGCGGCTGGGCGGGCCCCACCGGCCCCAGGCAGTGAGGGGCTTTGCACCTGGGCCAGCAGCTGCTGTGCTCAATTTCTCGCCAGGCCTTAGCTGCCTTCCCCCAGGGCAGGGCTGGAGGCCTGCAGCCCACCATGCCTGAGCCTCCCACCCCCTCCATGGCCTCCTGTGCGGCTGGAGCCTCCCCAATGAGCACTGCCCCCTGCTGCACGGTGCCCAGTCCCATCGACCACCCAAGGGCCGAGGAGTGTGGGCACAGGGCATGGGACTGGCAGGCAGCTCCACCTGCAGCCTGGTGCGGGATCCACTGGGTGAAGCCAGCTGGGCTCCTGAGTCTGGTGGGGACTTGGAGAACCTTTGTGTCCACACGCTGTATCTAGCTAATCTAGTGGGGACGTGGAGAACCTTTGTGTCTAGCTCAGGGATTGTAAACGCACCAATCAGCGCCCTGTCAAAACAGACCACTCGGCTCTACCAATCAGCAGGACGTGGGTGGGGCCAGATAAGAATAAAAGCAGGCTGCCGGAGCCAGCAGTGGCAACCGGCTCGGGTCCCCTTCCACACTGTGGAAGCTTTGTTCTTTTGCTCCTTGCAATAAATCTTGCTACTGCTCACTCTTTGGGTCCACACTGCTTTTATGAGCTGTAACACTCACCGCGAAGGTCTGCAGCTTCACTCCTGAAGCCAGCAAGATCGCGAACCCACCAGAAGGAAGAAACTCTGAACACATCCAAACATCAGAAGGAACAAACTCCAGACGTGCCACCTTAAGAGCTGTAACACTCACCACGAGGGTCCACGGCTTCATTCTTGAAGTCAGTGAGACCAAGAACCCACCAATTCTGGACACACTATCAGCCTTAATTTTTCAAGAGTTGATTCAAACACAGTGTTGAGAAATCTTTTCTTTTATCTTCAATTTGGTAGATGTTTATGGAAACAGTCAGAAAACATGTTGATTAATTTCATTTTAAAATCTTTAACAAAAACTTTTAAAAAATCAAGCTCTATTTTCTCATTGATTTAAACTTAATTGCTTATCTAAATATTTTATCAATTTACTTATATTAAATTGTGTATTTTTTTTCAATTTTTCTGCCCTGAATGTTTTTAAAAAAGCAAACAAACAGGAAAATCTTGGTTTCTCAACTGATCTTATCACTTACTGCTCTAATGACAAAACCAAGATTTTCTGATATGAGTTCTCTAAACATTCTACAGCTTTACCTTTATTGTACTCTGCTCTCCTTCACATCTGAGTTGCTCTTTCTGAACACTTCTGTCTTATGCCTTAAAGAGTCTTATCACTGGTCATTTCCCTGCAATGTGGTTCATTTTTATTTTACATCTTTAAACATTTAAAATGTAAAAAAAAAAATTGTATGTTTTTCCTGTGTTAAAAGCAACTTTAGAGAGATGGTGGCGCAAGATAGCCAAATAGAAGCATCCACTGATATCATCCTCCCTTCAGGAACACCAAATTGAACAACTATCCACACAAATAAAAGCACCTTCATAAGAATCAAATATCAGGTGAATGGTGACAGTATCTGGTTTTAACTTCAAATCACTTAAAGAGGCACTGAGGGTTAGGAAAGAAAGTCTTGAATTGCTGATGCCACCCCCGCCTCCCATTCCCTGGCAGCAGCCACATGGCATGGAAAGAGAATCTATGCACTTGGGGGAAGGAGAGCACAGTGACAGTGGGACATTATTTGGGAATGCAGTGCTTCCCTGTTATCTCAGAAAACAACACCAGGGATAACTCAGCCAGCACCCACAGAATGAACATTTGAACTAGCCCTAAACAGAGGTGAATTACGTATGCCAGGGGCCAAATCCTAAGTACCAGGAAGCCTTGACACCAAGGGATAAAGTATTCTAGGTTCTAAATAAATTAGGCAGACATTCAAGGCACAAGGACTCCAATTTCTGGGCAAGTCCTGGTGTTGTGCTGGGCTTAGAGTTGGTGAAGTTGAAGCACATGTGACATAATGAGACCCAAGCCTGTATGACCAAAGGAGCGCTTGTGCCACCCCTCAGGCAACTGAAGGCAGTGCAGTTTGCAGCTCTGGGAAAGAGTTCTTCCTTCCATTTGAGGAGAGGAGAGGAAAGAGAAAAAATGACTTTTTCTTGCAACTTGGAAACCAGCTCAGCCACAGTAGGACAGGGCAGCAGACAGAGTCCTGAGGCCCCCATTCCATGTTCTACCTCCTGGATGACATTTCTAGACACATGCCGGGCCAAAAGGGAGCCTGCTGCAAAAAGATTCAGTCCTTGTAGGATTCATATCTTCTGACTAAAGAGCCCGTAGGCCCATAACAGTCAGTAGTAGTCAAGCAATACTCACCATGAGCCTTAGGTGAGACTCAGAGATGTGCTGGCTTCACCTCTCCCACAGCTCCAGGAATTTCAGCACAAAGAGAGAGACTCAATTTCCATTTGTTTGGAAGAAAGTAAGGGAATGGAACAAGAGCCTATGTCTGTTAACCTCGAGAATTCTTACAGATCTTATCCAAGACCACTAATGTGGTACCTCTATGAGTTTGCAATAGCCACAATATTATAACATGCCCTCTAATGCAGATGCAACTGCAGTGACTAAAAATTTGTGTCACAACACAGGTCAAATACCCAAAAAAGCCTTTTCAAGAAAGACAGGTAGAAACATGCCCAGACTGCAAAGAAGATTACAACAAATAACTAACTCTTCAATGCCAGACACCAGTGAACATCCATCAAGCATCAGAACCATCCAGAAAAACATGACATTATCAAACAAACTAAATAAGGCACCCAGGACCAATTGTGGAGAGACAGAGTTACAGCAACATTCAGACAAGGAATTCAAAACAGCTGTTTTGAGGCAATGCAAAGAAATTCAAGATAACACAGAGAAGAAATTCAGAATCCTATCAGATAAATTCAACAAAGATATTGAAATAATTAAAAAGAATCAAACACAAAATCTAGAACTTAAAAATTCAATTGACAGACTGAAAAATGCATCCGTCTCTTAATAGCAGAACTGATCAAACAGAAGAAAGTGTCAATGAGCATGAAGACTGTCTATTTGAAAATGCGCAAAGGAGACAAAAGAGAAAAAGAATAAAACATGCCTTCAAGATCTAGAAAATTGGCTCAAAAGGGCAAATCTAAGAATTGTTGGGCTTAAAGTGGAGGTAAAGAGATAGGGGTACAAAGCTGATTCAAATGGATAATAACAGAGAACTTCTCAAACCTACAGAAAGGTATCAATGCTCATGTACAAAAAGTTTATAGAATACTCAGCAGATTAACCTAATAAATAAGACTAAATAAGACTACCTAAACACATTTAATAAGGAAACTCCCAAAAGTAAAATATTAAGAAAGGATCCTAAAGCAGACAGAAAAAAGAAATGAATAACATAAAATGGAGCCCCATTACACCTGGCAGCAGAATTCTAAGAAGAAACCTTACAGGCCAGGAGAAAGAGGCATGACATGTTTAAAGCACTGAAGAAAGAAAGAAATGTGTATTCTAGAATAGTATGTCCAGCAAAAATATACTTCAAATATGAAAGCGAAATAAAGACTTACCAAGAGAAGCAAAAGCTGAGGAATTTCAACACAAAACCTGTCCTACAAGGAATACTAAAGAGAGTTCTTCAGTCTGAAAGAAAAAGATGTCAATGAACAATAAGAAATCAACAGGGCCGGGCACAGTGGCTTCTACCTGTTATCCCAGCACTTTGAGAGGCCAAGGTGGGCAGACTGCTTGAGTTCAGGAGTTCGAAGCCAGTCTGGACAACATGGCAAAACCCCACCTCTACCAAAAATACAAACAATAGCTGGATATGGTGCCACATGTCTATAGCTCCATTTAGTCAAGAGGTTGAGGCAGGAGAATCACTTGAACACAAAACGTGGAGGTTGCAGTCAGCAGAGATCACACTACTGCACTCCAGCCTGGGTTATAGGAGTTAAAGCCTATTGAAAATAGAGAAAGAGAGAGAAAGAAAGAAAAAGAAAGAAAGAAAGAAAGAAAAGAGGAGAGGAGAGGAGAGAGAGAGAGGGAAAGAAAGAGAGAAAGAAAGAAAGAAAGAAAGAAAGAAAGAAAGAAAGAAAGAAAGAAAGAAAGAAAGAAAGAAAAGAAAGAAAGAAAGAAAGAAAGAAAAGAAAGAGAAAGAAAGAGAAAAACTGAAAATCTAATACTGGTTATAGTAAGTGCACAGAAAAACACAGAATATTATAACAAAGAAATTTTAATGTGTATATTACACATGTCTTGAGTGGAAAGATTAAAATGTGAACAAATCAAACGTAAGAGCTACAATTTATCAAGACATAGACAGTACAATAAGATATAAATAGAAAAAAATGTTAACAAATAGAAAAGTGAAAATTTGGTCTCTGTCGGTTTTCTCTTTGCTTGTTACTCTTTTGTTTATACAATCAGAGTTAAGTTACTATTACTGTAAAATAATTGGTTATAAGGTATTATTTGCAAGCATTATGGTAATCTCAAATCAAAAAACATACTAGAGAAGCACACACACATAACACACACACACACAAACCAAGAAATTAAAACAGACCACTAGAGAAAATCACCTTCACTTAAAGAAAGACAGGAAAAAGTGAAGAAGAAAGAGAAGACTACAAAACACCAAGGAAACAAATAACAAAATGCAGGAGTAAATCCTCATTTGCCAATCATATCAATGAATACAAACGGGCTAAACTCTCCATTCAGAAGATATTGAATGGCTGAATGTATAAAAAAGAAAAACCCAATAGTCTGTTGACTACAAGAAATACACTTCACCTGTAAACAAACACATAGACTGAAAATAAATAGAAAAATATATTCTGTAAAAATAGAAACCAAAAAAGAGCAAGAATAGATATACAGAGAAAATATATTTCAAGGCAAAAATTATAAAAAGGGACAAAGAATGCCGCTATGTAACGATACAGTTTCAATTCAGCAAGACAATGTAACAATTTTAAATATATAAGCACCCAACATTACAGCACCCAGATATAGGAAACAAATATAATTAGAAATAAAGAGAGAGATACAGC
Source organism: Homo sapiens (assembly GCF_000001405.40). Classification (NCBI taxonomy): domain Eukaryota; kingdom Metazoa; phylum Chordata; class Mammalia; order Primates; family Hominidae; genus Homo; species Homo sapiens. The sequence continues at coordinate 166,429,136 of NC_000003.12, forward strand.
CAAATGCAATAACAGCTGGAGACTTCAACATCTCACTATCAGCAGTGGAGAGATAATCCAGACAAAAAATCAACAAAGAAATATTGGACTTCATCTGCACTATAGACTAAATAGATCTAATCGCTATTATGAGACCATTTTATCTAACAGATGCAGAATACATATTCTTCTCTACAGCATATAAATCACTCTCAAAAAAAGACCATACACCACAAAACTAATCTTAAAATTGTTCTAAAAACTAAATCATATCAAGTATATTTTTTGACCAAAATGGTATAAAGCCAGAAGTCAATAACCATAGGTATTTTGGAAAGTATACACACACATAGAAATTAAACAATGTGCTCCTGCATGACAACTGGGTCAATGAAGAAATAAAGAAGGAAATTTAAAACTTCATTGAAACCAATATTAATGGATACACAACCTACCAAAACACACAAGATACAGTGAAAACAGGCGTAAAAGAAAAGTTTATAGCTATAAGCACCCACCTCAAAAAAATAGAAAACTTCAAATAAACAACCAAACAATGAATTTAAAAAAAACTAGAAAAGTAAGACCAAACCAAGCCCAGAAATTAGTAGAAGAAAATTAATAATAAAGACAGGAGCAGAAATAAGTGAAACAGAAATTTAAAAATATATAAAAGATCCATGGGACAAAAAATTTTTTTTTTTTGAAAAGACATATACAATTGACAAACCTTTAGTCAAACTAAGAAAAAAGATAGAAGACTCAAATAAATAAAATCACAAGTGAAAAAAAGACATTACAACTGATACTACAGAAATTCAGAGATTATTAGAAGCTACTATGAACAATTATATGCCAATAGATTGGAAAACTGAGAGGAAATAAGTAAATTCCTAGACATATACAATTGACCAAGATTGAATCATGAGGAAATCCAAAACCTGCACAGATAAATAACAAATAATGAGTGTGAAGCTATAATAAAAATTATCTTAGCAAGGAAAACCCCAGGACCTAATGGCTTCAATGCTGAATTGTAAGAAACATTTAAAGAAGAACTAATACCAGTCATACTCAAGCTTTTTTGAAAAATAGAGGAGGAGAGAATAGTTTTAAGTTCATTCTGTGAGGCCAGTTTTACCATGATACCCACATTGGACAAAGATAAATAAATAAATAAATAAAACTATAGTTTAATATCCATGATGAACATATGTGCCAATATTATCAAAATACTAGAAAACAAAATTAAACAACACATTAAAATGATTATTCATCATTACCAAGTGGGATTTTTCCCAGGGATGCAAGATGGTTCAACATACTCAAATCAATTACTGTGATATAGCATATCAACAGAATGAGGGACAAAAATCATATAATCATTTCAATTGACACCTGAACAACATTTGAAAATTCAAAATCCCTTCATAATAAAATACTTGAAAACTGAGTATAGAAGTAACATAGTTAAACACAATAAAAGCCGTATACAACAGACCCACAGGTAGCATTTTAATGAATGGGGAGAAAAGGAAAGCCTTTCCTCTTTGATCTAGAACACAACAAGAATGCCCACTTTTACCATTATATTACTAGAAGACCTAGCTAGAGCAATCAGAAAAGAGGAAGAAATAAATAAAATATAGGACATCCAAATTAGAAAGAAAAAAGTCAAATTATCCTTGTTTGCAGATGATGTGATTTTATATTTTGGAAAACCTAAAGATTCCACCAAAAAAAACTATTGGATTGATAAACAAATTCAGTAAAGTTGCAGGATACAAAATCAATATACAAAAATCAGTAGCATTTCCATATGGTTGCACAAACAACCGAAAAAGGAAAACAAAGGAAGTAATCCCACTTTAAATACAAATAAAATTAGCTAGAAATTAAACAAAGAAGCAAAAGATCTCTATAATGAAAACTCATTCTAAAATACCGATTAAAGAAATAGAAAATAATACAAAAAATTGGAAAGACATTCCATGAACAAGGATTGGAAGAATCACATTATTAAAATATCCATATCACCCAAAGCAATCTAGAGATTTAATGCAATTCCAATCAAAATACCAAGGACATTCTTCACAAAAATAGGGAAAAGAATCCTAAAACTTATATTGAACACTAGAAGAGCCAAAGTTATTTGAGTAAAAAGAACAAAAGTGGAAGAATCACATTGCCTGACTTCAAATTTTACTGTAAGCCTATAGAAATCAAAATAGCATGGTACTGGCATAAAATAAGACATATAAACCAATGGCGCAGAATAGATAAGCAAGAAATATATCAATACATCTACAGCGAACCAGTTTTGACAAAGAAGACAAGAATATAATTGGGAAAAGAATAGGCTCTTTAAAAAATGATTCTGGGAAACTATAATAGGTACTATTATAGTACCATATGCAGAAGAATGAAAGTAGACCCATATTTCTCACCATATACAAAAATTAAATCAAAATGAATTAAAGACTTAAATCTAAAACCTTAAACTATAAAACTACTATTGGAAAATATTGGGGAAACTCTCTAGGACATTGGACTGAGCAAAGATTTCCTGAATAATACCCAAAAGCACAGGCAACCGAAACAAAAATGGACAAATGGAAGCATATCAAATTGGAAAGCTCCTGCATAGCAAAGGAAACAATCAACGAAGTGTGGAGACAATCCACAGAATGAGAGAAAAATATTTGTAAACTACCCATTTGCCAAGGGATTAATAACCAGAATATATAAGGAGCTCAAACAACTCCATAGGAAAAAGAAATCTAAAAATCCAACTGAAAAAATGGACAAAAGGTCTGAAGAGACATTTCTCAAAAGAAGACTTACAAAAGACAGGCATATGAAAAGGTTCCCAGCATCACTGATCATCAGAGAAATGAAAATCAAAACTACAATGAGATATCATCCCACCACAGTTAAAATGGCTTTTGTGAAAAAAGGGAGGCAGTAACAAATGCTGGCGAGAATGTGGAGAAAAGGAAACTTTGTACACTGTTGTTGGGAATGTAAATTAGCACAACCACTATTGAGAACAGTATAGAGATTTCTCAACAATCTAAAATTAGAGCTACCGTGTGATCCAGCAATCTTACTGCTAAATGTACACCCAAAAGAAAGGAAATCAGTATATCAGAGATATCTGCACTCCCATGTTTATTGCAGCACTATTCACAGTAGCCACAATTCGGATAAAAACTAAGTGTCCATAAGCAGACAAATGGACAAAGAAAACATATTACATATACACACTGGAATTCTATTCAGCCATAAAAAAGAATGGGATCTTGTTATCTGCAACAATATGAATGGAACTGGAGGTCATTATGTTAAGTGAAATAAGCAAGGTGCAGAAAGACAAACTTCACATGTTCTTACTTACTTGTGCAAGCTAAAAATTAAAAGTATTAAACTCACAGAGATAGAGGGAAGAACAGTGTTAACAGAGGCTTGGAAAATTAGTGTGAAGAGAAAGTAGGGATTGTTAATAGGTACAAAAATATAGTTAGACTGAATAAATATGATCTAGTGTTTGTTAGCACATAGGGTGACTACAATCGACAATAATTTATTGTACAGTTTAAGGTAAGTAAAAGTATAATTGGATTGTTTGTAACACACAGAAAGGATAAATGCTTGATGTGATGGATACCTCTTTAACCTTATGTGATTATTATGCATTGCATGCTTGTATTAAAATATCTCATGTGTCCTGTA